>NC_000006.12:98101093-98252608 GCF_000001405.40 Homo sapiens
TGTTAATTTAATAGGAATAGCATTGAATCTATAAATTGCTTTGGGCAATATGGCCATATTCTTGATATTGAATCTTCCTATCCATGAGCACAAAAATGTTTTTTCATTTGTTTGTGTCATCTCTGATTTATTTGAGCAGGACTGTGTAGTTACCCTTGTAGAGATCTTTCACCTCCCTAGTTAGCTGTATTACTAGGCATTTCATTTTTTCTTTGGCAATTAGGAATGGGAGTATATTATTGATTTGTCTCTCAGCTTGACTGTTGTTAGTGTATAGGAAAGCTAGTGAATTTTGCACATTGATTTTGTATCCTGAGACTTTGATGAAATTTTTTGTCAGCTTAAGAAGCTTTTTTGTTGAGACTGTCAGGTTTTCTAGATATAGAATCCTGTTGTCTGCAAACAGGGCTAGTTTGACTTCCTCTTTTCTTGTTTGGATGCTTTTATTTCTTTATCTTGCCTGATTGCCCTGGCCAGGACTTCCAATACTATGTTGAATAGGAATGGTCAGAGAGGGCATCCTTGTCATGTGCTGGTTTTCAAGGGAAATGCTTCCAGCTTTTGCCCTTTTAGTATGATGTGGGCTGTGGGTCTGTCATAGATGGCTCTTATTATTTTGAGTTATGTTTCTTTAATACCTCACTTATTGAGACTAGATATGAATGGATGTCGTATTTTATGGAAAGTTTTTTGTGCATCTACTGGAGATAATCATGTGTTTTTTTTTCTTTAGTTTGTTTTATGTGATGAATCACATTTATCGTTTTGTGTGTGTGGAACCAAACTTGCATCCCAGGGATGAAACTTGCTTGATCATGGTAGATAAACTTTAATGTGCTGCTGGATCTGATTTGCAGGTAGTTTGCTAAGGATTTTTGCATCAATGTTCATCAAAGATATTTGCCTGAAGTTTTCTTGTTCTGTTGTGCCTCTGCCAGGTTTTGGTATCAGGTTGATGCTGGCCTCATATAATGAGGTAGGGAGGAGTATCTCTTCTTCAATTTTTTAAAATACTTTCTGTGGGTATGGTACCAGCTTTTCTTGGTACATCTTGTTGTAGAATTCAGCTGTAAATTCATCGGGTCCCGGGCTTTTATTGGTTAGTAGGCTATGTATTACTGCTTCAATTTCAGAGCTCATTATTGGTCTGTTCAGGGATTCATTTCTTTCCTTGTTCAGTCTTGGGTGGTGGGTGTATTTCTCCAGGAATTTACCAATTTCTTCTAGATTTTCTAGTTTATGTGCATAGAGGTGTTCATAGTATTATCTGATGGTTGTTTGTGTTTCTATAGGGTCAGTGGATATTGCCACTGATATAACCCCCTTGTTATTTCTGATTGTGTTTCTTTGAATCTTCTCTTTTTTTTTATTAATTAGTCTACCTAGTGGTCTATCTATTTCATTGATTTCTTTTTTTTTAATAGCTTCTGAGTTTGGTGACTTTTTGAATGGCTTTTCACGTTTCAATCTCCATTGGTTCAGCTCTGGTTTTGGTTATTTCTTGTTGTCTGCCAGCTTTGGGATTTTTTTCCTCTTAGTTCTCTAGTACTTTTAGTTGTGATATTAAGTTGTTAATTTGAGATCTTTTTAACTTTGTGATATGGGCATTTAGTGCTATAAATTTCCCTCTTAACACTGCTTTAGATGTGTCCCAGAGATTCTGGTATCTTGTATCTTTGTTCTCATTAGTTTCAAAAATTTCATGATTTCTGTTTTAATGCCATTATTTGCCCAAAAGTCATTCAGGATCAGGTTATTCAATTTCCATGTAATTGTGTAGTTTTGAGTGAGTTTCTTAGTCATGATTTCTAATTTGATTGTGCTGTGGGTCCAAGAGACTGTTATTATTTTAATTCTTTTGCATTTGCTGAGGAATGTTTTCCTTCCAATAATGTGATTAGTTTTTCTGTATGTGCCATATGGTGATGAGAAGAATGTATATGCAGTTGTTTTTGGTTGGGGAGTTCTGTAGCTGTCAGGTCCACTTGATCCAGAGCTGAGTTCAGGTCCTGAATATCTTTGTTAATTTTCTGTCTCGATGATCTAATATTGTCAGTGGCATGCTAAAGCCTCCCACTATTAATATTTGTGAATCTACTTCTCTTTGAAGGTCTCTAAGAACTTACTTTGTGAATTTTGGTGCTCCTGTGTTGGGTACATATATATTTAGGATAGTTAGATCTTCTTGTTGAATTGAACCCTTTACCATTATTTAATGCCCTTCTTTGTCTTTTTTGATCTTTGTTGGTTTAAATTCTGTTTTGTCAAAAACTACTATTGTAACCCTTGCTTTTTTATTTTTCTTTTGGTTGGTAGGTTTTTCTACATCTCTTTGTTTTGAACCTATGTGTGTTGTTCCAGGCGAGATGGCTCTCTTGAAGACAGCATACCAGTCGGTCTTGGTTCTTCATCCAGTTTGCCACTCTGTGTCTTTTCGTTAGGTCATTATGATGTTACCTAGTTACTTTGCATAATTGTTCATGTGGCGGCTTTATAGTGTCACTGGTTTGTGTTCCTCAATATGTTTTTATAATGGCTGATAATGGTCTTTCCTTTTCATATGTAGAGCTTCCTTCAGGAGCTTTTGTAAGGCAGATCTGGTGGTGACAAATTTCCTCAGCACTTGCTTGTTGAAAAGGATCTTACTTCTCCTTCACTTTTGAAGCTTAGTTTGGCCAGATATGAAATTCTGAGTTGGATTTTTTTTTCTTTAAGAATATCTAATATTGGCACCCAATCTCTTCTGGTTTGTAATATTTCAGCTGAAATGTCCACTGTTAGTCTGATGAGATTCCCTTTGTAGATGACTTGACCTTTCTCTCTAGCTGCCTCTAAGATTCTTTTCACCTCTTCATCTATTGTGCTATGAATGCTTATGGATTTCATTATGAAATTATTGTAGTGTGTTTTTCAGCTGTATATGGTTGGTCCCATTCTTCTCTCTACTGTCTACTCTGTTGGTCAGCTCCTGTAATGTTTTATAATGATTTTAACATCCTTGCATTGGGCTTCAACATGCTCCTATAGCTGAATGAACCTTGTTCTTAACTATATTCTGAATTCTATTTTTGTCATTTCAGATATCTCAGCCTCAGTCCAGTTCCAAACCCTTGCTGGAGAGGTGATGTGTTCATTTGGAGAAAAGATGGCACTCTGGCTTTTTAAGTTTTCAGCATTTTTGTGCTCTTTATTTCTCATCTTTTTTGCCTTCAATCATTGAGGCTGCTGATCTTTGGATGAGTTTTTAGTTCCATTTATCCTATTTGATGTCCTCGAGGGTTTGATTGTGGTGTAAGATGGATTCAGCCAACTGGCTTAGTTTCTGTGAGATTTTAGGCCAACACTCAGCTCCCAACTCTGGACTGTGTGCTCTAACTCTGGGGGACTTGCACTGGGCTTTTGTTCTTTGACTCCTCAAGGTTTGGAGTCCACTGTGCTGGGCGGACTGAAGTGTGGCAGATGAAGCAGAGTGCTAGTGGATGCAGGGGTGCCTGCTTTCCTGTGGGTGTTCACCACAGTGGCAGAGGCCAGGCAGCTGGGGAGGAGTTGGGATTCTCTGCTGAAGACCATGCGCTGTGTTGCTCTGAAGGTTGTGTTGGCTTGGGGCAGCATGCTGGCTGTCACACATCTGAGCTCCTTCTCTGTGCTCTCCAAGCAGTAGTGATTGCTCAGGGTGTGGGAGGATGCCCTGTATTCTGCACAGTGTGTCAGTGCAAGGGCTAGACACTAGCAGGGGATGGGCTTGCTGGCTGTGTGCCCACCAAGGCTCACTCTGCAATGGCGGTCAGTAGAGTTGAGGTGTACTAAACTTCTGCATACTGGCAGGGCAAGTAAAGCAAAGCCTGCCCATGCAGACACTTGTCAGCAAAGTGATGTGGAGATTTGTTGTGGGCTAGGGGGAAGATGCGGTATGGGGAGGGAAATGTGGACTGGTGTGCAGCCATAGGGGCTGCCTCACTGGAACCCTCTTATAAAGATTACATTAATATTTCACTGAGTTATTTATCAGGAGGTCTCATTTTTGATATAATTTTTTGTGTGTTTCATTATTTTGCTGACATTTACATTATATTTTACATACATTTTTAACTGACTATTAAAGATGCTAGGAGATATATTAAAAGAGGAAAATAACACCATGTTAGGAACTTTTAGTTTTTATTCAAATTTTAATTTCCTATTAAAACTTCTGCACGATTGCCATGTTTGATCAGAGAGGAATGAGCAAGAACATTGTGATGGTGGAGAAGGACTCTCTGGGCATTTTTTCTGTTACAGCTTTAGCTAACTTTTTCAGAACACTCTTATAAGAACCAGATGTTATCATTCTTTGTCCCTCCAGAAAGTCAACAAGCAAAATGCCTTCAGATTCCCAAAATGCTGTTATCATCTTTGCTCTTGACCAGTCCCCTTCTTTGACTGGACTACTTCCACCTCTTGGTAGCCATTGCTTTGATTATGCATTGTCTTCAGGATTGTACTGGTAAAGCCCTGTTTCATCTCCTGTTGCAATTCTTTGAAGAAATTCTTCATAATCTCTATCTCAGTTGTTTACAGTTCCCATAGATATCTCTCCTGTTTTTTGTAACTTATCTAGGTGCCACAGTTTTGGCACTCATTGAGTGGAAAGTTTGCTCATCTTTAACTTTTCAATAGGAATTGTGTAAGCTGAATCAATTAGGAAGTCTATAGTGGTGGCTATTGTCTGTGCTGTTGTCAGTTCTTTTCAATTAGGTCAAAATCAAGGTTAATTTTTTCCTCACAGGTTGATACGGATTGTTTGCTGCTGTGGGCTTTATATTTAACATTACCCTATCCCTTCTTAAAATGAGTTATCCATTTTTAAACTGCTGACGTCTTTGGAATATTGTCCCTGGAAGCTTTTTGTAGAGCGTCAATGATTTCACCATTCTTCCACTCACTCGTCACCATAAAGTTGATGTTTGTTCCTGCTTCAATTTTTGTAGAATTCATGTTGCTATGATAGGGGCTCTTTTCAAACCAGTGTATTATTCTTCATAGTGCCTCAAACTAGATCCTGTTTAAACATGTTAGAACAAGTTAGGATGAGTTTATTTTGATGCAAATTTTTTTATTTTCAGGCATAGTTTTTTCATAATACCCATTTTTCATGAAATTTTTGAACAACCCATTGTATTTCTCTGAGCTAATATTGTAGTGGGAAAGGGGTCTTGGAGAAAAATAAAGTAAAGCATTTTTACATACATAAAAGTGCATTAGAGTGGGGAAAACACCTGACTCTTTATTCTAAAGATGATAGAGAAATGTGCACATGATTGTACAAGTAGAAAATGGAGAATAAATATTAATAAAATAGTGAACTATAGTTTTGCTTTCACATTTACAAGGGTAAAATAGAATGAAGCAACCTAGTCAATTGAGAAAAAGGGAAAATTCAGTATCTAAGAAATATTTAATTAACATAGAAGCAACAAAGTCAAATTTATAAGATAATGCTATACATGAATGAACTGAATTTTCTCATAAGAAAGAGACTATGATATTGAGTTAAAAAATACAACAGAGTTTAAGCACACTTAAGGTATACATAAAAGAAAGTTTAAAGATAAAGCAATAGACAAATGAACAGGAGGCAAAGATAAAGATTGTAGAAGTGTCAATGGTAATATCAGACATGATACAGTCAATATTAAAAGTCTGAAAATGAACTAAAATACCAACTAATAATAAAATGAGTGTATTATAAAGAAGATATGATATATAGAAGATAATATATGAAAAAGATAAACTTCTTTTCAATAGGCCACAAAATAGCTGAATCTGTTTGTAGAGGAATATTTCAATTACCCACTTTTAGGCTTAGAGAGAGACAGGAAGAAAATAGCCATAAAAATAAGATGAATAATAAAATCAATAATGTTCAACAATTAGCTATACATAGAAGTTTGTATCTCTTGAAAAGTTAAGATACTTAATTTGTGTATTATGGGGAGTTTGTAAAAATTGTCCAAAATTGGCCACAAAGGAAACATTAAGAAATTTAAAACAAGGGAATTTCTAGGCCACATTCTCTAATTATTACCAAATAAATAAATAAAGCACAAGAAAAACAAAAGCTAAAGTATTCTGAGGTTACTTGGAAATTAGACAATTATTGGATCAGATTTTTTTTTTAAGTAGGAAAATTATATCTCTAGAAAGCAAAAAATAAAAAATAAAAACACAACACTTTGTGACATAATTGTAAGAACACAGGAAAAGTACTTATCTGAAGAAAATGCATTATGAATGTCTTAATAAAAAAGAAAAACAAGGCCGGGCATGGTGGCTCATGCCTGTAATCCCAGCACTTTGGGAGGCTGAGGTCGGTGGATCACCTGAGGTCAGGAGTTTGAGAGCAGCCTGGCCAACATGGCAAAGCCCCGTCTCTACTAAAAATATAAAAATTAGCTGGGTGTGGTGGTGTACGCCTGTAATCCCAGCTACCTGGGAGGCTGAGACGGGAGAATCGCTTGAACCCAGGAGGCGGAGGTTGCAGTGAGTTGACATGGTACCATTGCACTGCAGCCTGGGCAACAGCAAGACTCCATCTCAAAAAAAAAAAAAATGTACAAATTATTTTATGAAATTAGAAAAATAGTTACAAAACAGTGCAAAATAAAGTAGAAAGAGGGCTTACCATATAAAAGTTAAAAATTTTAAATTAATAAGGTAAAATATAGAAAATAGTAAATGATAAATAAAATCAAAGCTGTTCATTTAATAGGTATTGTATAAAGAAAAACACTTCAGGAGACTTATTAAAAATAAAAGTGTGTAAATATTGCAGGTTTCATTCCTGACCACTGGAATAAAGTAAATAGTGCAAGAAAGCAACTTACACAATTGTTTTTGGTTTCCCAGTGCATATAAAAGTTATGTTCACTTTATACTATTGTCTTTTAAGTGAGTAATGATAGCATCATGTCTAAAAAATGTACCTAACTTCATTTAGAAAAAAAAAACTTTATGGCTAACAAATGCTAGCAATTATCTGAGCCTACAGCAAGTTGTAATCTCATTGCTGGTAGATGGTCTTGCCTTGATATTGATGGCTGCTGACTGATCAGGGTTGCTGAAAGTTGGGTGGGGTATGGCAATTTCTTAAAATAAAACAAAGTTTGCCATAAATTGACTCTTCCTTTTACAAAAAGTTTCTCTGTAATATGCAATGCTACTTGAGAGCATTTTACCCAAAGTAGAACTTTCAAAACTGGAACTCAAACTCTGCCACTCCTTTATCAACTAAAATGGTGTAATATTCTAGATCCCTTGTTGTCTTATTAACACTGCTCACAGCATCTTCACCAGGAGCAGATTCCATCTTCAGAAACCAGTTTCTTTGCTCATCCATAAGAAGCAGTTTCTTATGAGTTTTATCATGAGATTATAGCAATTCAGCCTTATCTTTGGGCCCACTTCCAATTCTAATTCTCTTGTTCTATCTACCACTACTTCCTCCACTGAATCTTGAACCCCTCAAAGTCATTTATGAAGGTTAGAATCAGTTTCTTATAAACTCCTGTTAATATTGATATTTTGACATCCTCCCATAAATCACAAATGTTCTTAATGATGTCCAGAATGGTGTATTATTTCCAGAATGTTTCAGTTTACTTTTCCCAGGTCTATCGAAAGAATTACTTTCTATGGCAGCTGTAGCCCTACAAAATGTATTTCTTAAATACTAAGTCTTGGAAGTAAAAATTAGTCCTTGATTCATGGACTGCTGAATGGTTGTTATGTTAGCAGCCATGAAAACAAAGTTAATCTCCTCGTACATCTTCATCTGAGCTCTTGGGTGATTAGGTGCATTGTTAACGAACAGTATAGCTTGAATGAAATCTTTTTTTTGAGCGGTAGGTCTCAACATCAGTGAGCTTAAAATATTCTGTAAACCTTGCTTTCAACAAATGTGCTGTCATACAGGCTTCGTTGTTTCCATATATAAGGCACGAGCAGAGTAGATTTAGCCTAATTCCTAAGGGCCCTGGGATTTTTGGAATGGTAAATGAGCATTCGCTTCAACTTAGTCACCAGCTGCATTAGCCCCTAACAAGAGAGTCAGCCTGCTCTTTGAAGCTTTGAAGGCAGGTGTTGACTTCTCCTTTCTAGCTATGAAAGAACCAAATGACATCCTCTTCCAACATGTAAGGCAGTTTCATCTACATTGAAAATCTGTTGTTTAGTGTAGTCACCTTTATCAATGATCTTAGATAACTCTTCTGGATAATTTGCTGCAGCTTCTATATCAGCACTTGCTGCTTCACCTTGCACTTTTATGTTATGGAGATAGCTTCTTTCCTTAAATCTCATCAACAATCCTCTACTAGCTTCAAACATTTCTTCTACAGATTCCTCACGTCGATCTGCCTTCATAGAATTGAAGAGTTGGGGGCTTGCTCTGGATTAGGCTTTGTCTTAAAGGAATATTTTGGCTGGTTTGGTTTTCTATCAAGACAATCACTCAAACCTTCTCCATATCAGCAATAAGTCTGTGTTGCTTTCTTCTCATTCTTGTGTTCACTGGAGTAGCACATTTAATTTCTTTCAATAACTTTTACTCTGCATTCACAAGTTGGCTAACTGTTTGATGAAAGCAGCCTAGCTTTCACCCTGTTTCGACTTTTGACATGCCTTCCTCACTAAGCTTACCCATTTCTAGCTTTTGATTTAGAGTGACTCTTCCTTTCACTTGAACACTTACACGCTATAAGTGTTGGCCTCATTTCCATATTGTTGTGTCTCAGGGAATAGAGAGGTCCAAGAAGATGGAAAGAGGCAGTGAATGGCTGGTCAATAGACCAGTCAGAACACATAGAATTTTTACAGCATTTATAGATTAAGTTGGCCAACTTAAATGGGTGCAGTTTGTGGTGCTCCAAACAATGACAATAGTAACATCAGAGATTACCAATCATAGGTTACCATAACAGAAATAAAAATGTTTTAAATATTGCAGGAATTGCCAAAATGTGATGCAGAGATGCAAAGTGAGCACATGCTCTTGGAAAAAATGTCACCAATGGACTTCGCAATGCAGGGTTACTGCAAATCTTCAATTTGTAAAAAATGCAGTATCTAACAAAGTGCATTAAAGTGAAGTGCAATGAAAGGAGATATGCTTGTATATATATAATCATGAATCGCATGGTGATATTTTAGTCAGTGATGGACTACATATATGATGGTGGTCCTATAATATTATACTGAAGCTGAAAAAATTATATAGCCTAGTGGTATCTCAATGATACTGACCCTATGTAAGTCTAGGCTAATATATGTATTTCTACCTATAGGTGAAAGTCTAAATAAATAGCATTACAAATAGGAGTAATTAATCAATAAGTTGGACTGCTGTAATACAACATATACAAAAATTTCAGGTGTTTTTGAAAGGATCTGTACAAATACTTTGGAGATTATATTTGCAACCTGGAATCTGCGAGGTGCCTTCTTAACCAAGAATAGGAATCCAGTTGCCAGAAAAGAATTGATAGGCTTGTTTGATAATATAAAAATGAAAACTTTGTAGAGCTAAAGATTAAATTGACCAAAAACTTGAGGTGTAATATAAGGTAGAAAGAAAGAAATAAGGATCCCTTACATTGTTTCTAATCATTCTCACTAGAATATTATGCATTACTTTTGGACAAATTATTTCACTATTATAATTAGATAAATAGAGTAATGCTTTCAACTGAAATGAAGTCAAAATTCATTCATTTAATTTATTCAGCAAATACATTTCGGGCACCTGTTTGTTATAGACTTGTTTTAGGTCCTGGGGATACAGCTGTAAACAGAACTGAAGAAGAAAAACTTGCCCTCAGGAGCTCACATTCTAAATGAGAAAAATTAATAGGTAGAAAGTAAAATATAAGATGGAAAACGTAAATTATACATTAAAGAAAACAATACAATTTGCAATATGTCAGATAGTGATAAGTGCAGTAGATAATAACTAGGGTAGTGTTATAGGAAGTATGACGTGTGTGTGTGTGTGTGTGTGTGTGTGTGTGTACACAATTTTAGACAGCATACCTAGAGAAGAATGCTCTGGGAAGGTAGTGGGTTAGTTAAGACCTGAAGGAAAAGGGAAACAAATCCTATGAATATTAAAGTTGAGATTATAAGAGGCAGTGGAAAGAACAACATCAAAGGATGTGAGTTGGGAGCATGCCTAGTTTATTTAAAGGACAACGGAGAGGCAAATATGATTTTAGCAGAATGACCCGGCTTGTGAAAAAGAGAGGAATAGATGATAAACTCAGAGGTGACAGGTGACCAGGTTAGTTATAACTTCTTACGTTAGGAAGTCTTTGTCTTTTACCCTGAGTAGGATGGAGAACTATGAGCATAAAAGTGCATTGGTGCACTTTACATTTTTGCAGAATTCCTCTGGCTTCAGCTAGGTATAGTTTGGAGGGGGGCAACGTGAGAGCTGGAGCAGTTGAGAGGCTTTAGTAATAATCTAGGAGGGAGATAATGATAGTTTGATTTAAAGTGGTAATGGATGTGAAAAATGTAAAATATTACTTATAGCAGAAATATAATGGATAACAAGAGTTGACCACTGGGCTTGGCAAAATAGAGTTCACTGATAACTTAGTTTAGGTGTAGTGGAGAGTGGCAAAAAGCCTGTTTGGAGTGGAGTCAAATGAAAGTGGGAGGAGAAAGTGAGATTAGATGTCTTCAAGGAAGTTTTGATATAAAAGGAAGGAGAGAATTAGGCGGAAATGGGAAGGGAAAACGTAGAGAGAAGAAAATTATGGTATGCAAGAAAGGAAAGATTTGCTTGAGCGGTGTACTTGATTAGGCCATATGCGATGTAATCCAGCAGGTGAATGGAGGATTTGGCCTATGTAGGAGTAAGAACAATTCCTCCACAGTAATAGAAAAAAAAAAAGGCAAAATGTAAGGTTACAAAGGTAGGTTTCTAGAAGTGTGAAAAAAATGGAAAAAACTTATGGAAATTCCCTTCGATTGATTTCTATTTTCTCAGTGAAATACAGAGCAAGGACATGCCTGAGAGTGAACATGAGGGAGGAGATACTAGAGACCTGGAGAGGAGGAAATATGAATCATACATTATTCTAGATAATTGAGAGAGTGAACGGAAGTACAGAACAATCGAGCACTAAAAAAAATTGAAGTTTGTGCTCATAAATGTAAAGTGAGTTCAGAAACACTCTGTGTGTCTGTGTGTGTGTGTGTGTGTGTTTCTTCAACTTTATTCAGAGCAACTGTATGTACTAGAATTGGCACAACTGCATTTAATCAAGTTTATTGTTTTGTCATCTGGTAGGATGAATTAAAATAGGTACAAGTCTTCTTGGTGTTAACACAAATAAGTTGAAAACTTATGTCCACACAAAAACCTGCAGCTTTATTTATAATTGCCAAAACTTGGAAACAGCCAAGATGTCATTCAGTAGATGAATGGAAAATGAACTTCCACACAGTGGGATATGGTTCATTGCTAAAGAGAAATTAGTTATCAAGCCATGACGAGACATGGAGTAAACTTAAATGCATATCACTAAGTGAAAGAAGCCAATCTGAAACAGCTATATACTGTATGATTCCTACCATGTAACAGTCTGGAAAATGAAAAACTGTGGAGATAATTAATAAAAGATCAGTGGTTTCCAGAGGTTGAGAAAGGAATTAATAGCCAGAACACAGACGATTTTGTTTTGGGCAATAAAACTACTCTCTGTATGTTACCATAATGGTGTATACATGTCATTAGGCATTTGGTGAAACCCATCAATTGTACAACACCAAGAGTGAAACCTAATGTAAATTATGGACTTTTGGTGACAATGCAGCCACGTAGGTTCAGTTGTAACAAATATTCCACTCTGGTAGGAGATGTTGATAATTGGGCAGACCATGCAAGTGTGAGGGTAGTAGATATATGGACCTTTCCCTTAATTTTGCTGTGATAGTGGTAGGTATAGCTTGAGATTTACAAAATTGACATAAGGTTATAGAGGAACACACTTGAAATTTTCAAAGTCTAAAGAGAAGATAAAAAGTAATATCTATGTTGAGATTCATGAAAATTCCAACTCAGTTGTTTGTTTTGAACACAGGTTCCATGACACATTTTGCAAAATATTTAGTTATACTATTAGATATTGAGCTCTTCCAAAAAATTGCTACATGTATTATTAAACTACCATAGATTTGTTTTTCATCATTTTTTTCTAAAGCATTTTAGAAGCCATTGATGTAATTTCTTCAGAATGATTGTCTCTGAGTATGGATTCATTTTATGTGAAGGATGCCTTGAAAGTATCCCTTTCAACATTTAATACCTAATTGTTCTTTCTCTCTCTCTGTCTCTCACACACACCCACACACACGCACACACACACAAAATATACAATACCTGTATGACTGTGTGTATACATTTTAGTGTTTTATGATTGATAAACTTTTGTTATATTGTTTCTCAAACTTCATATTCATATACTGAAGCGTCTTTTAAAAATATATGTTCCCATAAAATTACCCTTCTCATCCACTGTCAGCTAACTATGGTGTCTCAGTTTCTATTCCATTCATTTTCCACCCTTTACATATCTTCTGTAAGGTTTCAGTATGAGAACTTCAGCCTAATCTAACATTTGTTTCTGGCTGTTGAAGCCAACATGTAGATTCTCTGTTTTTCAGGAATATGGATATGAGAGATCACTTTGCTGTGCTGTAAATGATCGATTAAAATACATATTTCTGTAAGCATATTTCAATTTATTTTTTATGAAGTATCTAAACTGCTATTTACTCTGTGCATTTGTACTAAACTGCTATTTACTCTGTGCATGTTACCTTTAAAAAGTCTCTTTAGAATTTTAAAGTTTTAAAGGGAGGAGGAAACTTGAGATCATTTTGTTCAGCATTTTTCATACTGTGAATAAGATGTTAATAAGTGCTCTAGTTGTTTAAATACTCTGTTTTCTTATAAGACAATTATAAAATACACTAACATGTTAAAAATATATGAGAAGTTCTGAAGTAAGGAAACC
Source organism: Homo sapiens (assembly GCF_000001405.40). NCBI lineage: Eukaryota > Metazoa > Chordata > Mammalia > Primates > Hominidae > Homo > Homo sapiens. Next base: position 98,114,152 of record NC_000006.12, read on the forward strand.
TGATCAAATTCAACAGCGCTTTTTCCAAATATATTAGATATCAAAATTACTATCCATTTTTATTTTTTCTTTGAACATCTATAAAAACTTCATTGATTGAATGCTTCTCAGAATAGTTAGAGAATTATTGTCCTCTCTGTAAATGAGTAAACACAGACATGGTATATTTATAAGGCTTTCTAAAGTTATGTGGCTGTTTATTATCAGGAAGAATCAGAGCTAATTTGGACACCCAATTAAGTGCTCCTTTCTTCTTGCAGTTTGTCTCCTGGTACTTTCTTATCCCAGTGCTGTGCTGAGCCATATTGGAGCCTAAGGCAAAAGGGACCATCAGTAACACTAATCCTGTCTTTATTTAAAATTTTGATATTTTGTTCATCATGGATTTATTTGCATAAATTTTAATATTGAAATCTATTGATTAAAATATTATGTATCTTGATTACTGAGTTTTTCGTTATCCCTTCTGTTCTTGAGACAATGACTCATTTATCTGGCCCTACTCTCTGCTCTGATTACTCCTTCAAAACTACGTGTATCTCCGGTCTTAGAACATCCAAGCAACTTTATATTCCAAGTTATTTAAAAGCATGATGAATTTAGAAAATATCCACATCACAGCTTTGGTAACTTCCATTCCTCACATTTGTAGGTAGAAACATACCTACTCTTCTTTGCCTTTGTCTTCCGGGGAAAAATAAATAGTGCTGCTCCAATTTTTGGCATATAAAATTATAAATACCGTCTACTTTATTGCACACCTTCTGAAAGTCTGATCTCAATTTAATTATAATTAACAACCCAAATTTTCTATTAATCAGTTCCTAGGTGTAGGGGAATAAACTTGGGGCAGAGATTGCATCTAGTCTAGTTCAGCTTGATAAAAATACATATTCACTAACTTACTGAATTCTAATATGGAATTTCCCAAAGCGTATTTCAGCAAGGAGAATGATCATAAGGTCAGGGGGGAAAAAAGTAATAAAATTAGTTGGACAGTAAAGATCTGAAGGAAACTTAAGAGATTCTTTATTTCAGAACTTAGTGCCTCTAATATGCTAATGTTCTTTAGTAATACAGAAAATAACCTTATAAAATGCAGTGTTTTTTAAACAGATCTAACTACAGAAACTTTATATATATATATATATATATATATATATATATGTCTGCATGTATGTGAGATTTTGCATTGAACATCTGCCGTGGCACTGTAGTTTCACAGATCATCTTTGGAAAGTATATCTGTAATAAACTAGTCAAGCTTGGATTTTGTTTTGCAGAAAGTGTTTTTTCAGATGATATATAACTCAATGTTCAATTATAGCACTTTTTTTTTCTCCAGTAGTGGCTCACTAATCCCAGAGCCCAGCTAGGACTTTTCTTGTGCATGGAAGAACTATTGAAAATGAATCAATTGTTTTACCAAGTGAAATTTATAGGAATAGATTTTAATATTCTGGTCAACACATTTGCCTTTTCACAGTTAATTTTTTTTTTTATAACTCTTGGCGAGCTGTTGATCACTTAATGGTAGAGGTCTCCTAATCAATCATATTTGGCACAGCTTATATGCTTATTCCTATTGGCTCTGGTACCTCTGTCCTGCTTACTTCAAAAGAAGTTTTGAAAATAGAAACTTCATTTCTTGTCATACCTCTGTTGTTTTCCACATATAATGTACCCTTCTCATCTGACCGTCCTTGCAACTTGGAAGAACTCGATTTTCCTTCTTTTCCCTGTGAAGCTTGGAAGAGCTCGATTTTCCTTCTTTTCCCTACCTTCAGAGATGCTGACAAAAATGATTTCTTGCCCCCCATTCCCGATTACTAATTTGGAAAAAAATATCAATCTTCTAAAAATTTAACATGGAGTCTAAAACTGATATCCCTGAAAATAAATGTAAAAACGTAGATAAATTTTGGTAAAGATGTGATAACAGTGCTTTCAACTGCAGATGAAGGTTTAATATTGACTAAAATTTAAAAGCATTGCCTTGAATTCCCTTTCCATCTCTTTTGTTTTAGGTGTGGACACTTTGATAACATGTCAAAGTTATCAAAGATGCTATACCATCTTTCAATAGTATCACAACAGACACCCACAACACACTTGCACTTGTTTTCATTAGTTAGTTTTCAGATATGAACATCCCAGATATTTATTCTTTGTCCACACAACTTGGTCCGAATTTCGATTAGAAAGGAATTTGTTCATCCTTTGTGGCATCTTGAGCAGCATTACTTTAGGAGTCTGAGTTTTGCAAAATGAAACAGGTAATTGTTGTTTATAAAATATTATGATGGCACAGAGTCTGTGGCAACTAAAAACATTCCAGTGTTTGCTGCAAGGCATGAGGAGACAGTGACACAGCTCATTTCCTCAGCTGAGCTCTCTTTGCTGCCTTGTACAACACTTATTTCAAAGCATGCCACAGCTTAGAACTGTCGTGATCCCCATTAATATAAAATCATTGACCTCTGCTCCCGCTGGTGCGACTAAATTACATTCTGCTGCTCAGCAGCAGCCGCACATGGGGCCAGCGCTTTTAGTCGTCGCCAGGTGCCTTGATGCCAGCGCAGCCCCTCCTACGCCCAGGGTTTGCCTTTAATGAGGATTAGGCACCTTCAAAGATCTAGGAGGACCTACTCCCAGGATGGAAGCCTTTCTAATGGTATCTGGGCTTATCATAGGCAGTAATTTAGTATTTCAACTGAGACTGGAGAGAGATTCATTTCTCCTCTCTAAGAAATTGTAAGAATATATAGTTTTGTGATTGTTTTTTTTTCCTTCCATTCCACCAGCACAAATTCAAGAGCATTATGCCTAACAATATCATATTTTTATGAGATCTAGAAGCTGCATGTGGTAAAGCAATATCATAAATTTTGGTATGGTCCAGGTAGGGAAATTCCTTTTTTGGACTATTTTTATGTTATGTGCTATTAATAGAACTAAATGTACTCACAGTGTCCCACATTTAATTCACATTTGTAGTTAGGGTGGTGGAATCTCTTTACAAAAGAATTGATAACTGGTCTGGGAATGTGGTCTATTTTCACACTGTGTGGTCTCTCTTAACATCAGCTCCTGACCCTCTGGGCCTGCCTTTCCATGCAGTACCCTTGTTCTCTGAGAGTGAGGAGGTCTGTGTTTTGAGCCTTCCTACAGTGAGTATGGAATCCGCAGGAATGTTCTCTGTATGCTATAGCAATAATTCTTGCCTTGCTTGTTAAGTGATAAAGCTGGAGGGTTAGATAGTAACATGTAGAAAATAGTCACTGGACATACAAAACATAGGAAGTTTAGGTAGGAAAACAGGAAAAATGCCTCCTTTACATAAACTGCAGACACATGAGAAAAAGCAATAAAAGATCATGCACACATATGGTATAAACCAAGTGTGATTATGTGTATGGATATACATATATTCACACAATTATTTGCAGTATGTTTAGATAAGTTCTGTATATAGCAAACTGTTAATAAAAAGCTCAGAAATAATTTATCATCAGGATAAAATATAATGTTGGAAGCATTATTTGTGTAAAAAATCAGATGTTTTTGTCTGGTGAGGGGAAGAATTTGTGTATCAAAGTAAAACCCATGGTTTTAATCCAGGAAAATATGTACTCATATGAGTCAATTGGTTTCATCTTTTAAAATTTTTCAGTAGTGAAGCCAAATCATGATATATTCTGAATGTAGTAAATCTCAATACTTTATTTTTAGTTTTTAAATATATTTCAATAAGAAACTGTGCCTTCAGTCCACATGCACGTTGAAACCAGTCAGCAGCATAAAATGGGACAGACTTTAATCAATACTATGCCGGTCACACTGACTGTGTATAGAGACTTTGTCTGAATTTTCTACTCTCTGATTCCTATCAGAAGAAACAAATTAAGTTTTATGGCCGTAGGGAGTATCTACAGAGAGTTCTAACTAAATGGAGAGAGGTTAAATGGTCTACACACTTTAATTACAAACTTTATAAATACCATTTGTTGATAAAAATCAATTTTCAATAAGAATTTACAAAAACCAACAATAATATAGAGAAAAAGTGAAATTTCTGAGGGCTGCCTTTTTCTCTGTGATGTATAAATAAATACAAACAGTATAAATAATAATAATATTTTCACTATATTTTTTTAAAAACATGTTTTTGGTTTCTGGAATTATTTCATCCCTGAGGTTTAATTGTGTTTTATGAAATTCAGTCTCTGGATTATCGACTTGCTTCTGAAAGCTGATACCCAAACAGAGAGCTTTCTTTCCAGAAGGGTGTCCTAACCCCAGTCACACGTCTGCTAATTTGGCCTTTCTCTTAATCTCTGAAGAACTTGCTGAACAGAAGTGAAACTATGCACATGCTAATGGCTTGCGCTCTGCAAACTCCCCTCTCTCCCTGAGAGTGTCTGATGTGCAAAGCTGAGCTGGAACAAAGATACACTAATTATTCCCCATTAATTTGTCTGCTTGAATGGTCCTAAATACCAGAGTGATTAATTAGCGCAAGGCAGCCGGGGTAGGATGTCACACCCTTCTCTGAGTTTAAGTGTCGGCAAGGTTGTGCTCAAGTGTTGACAACAGCATATCTTTAATTTTCTCCAAGAAGAAAAGTTTAGTCAGTACAATTAATTTGAGCTTGGCTGGCTTGCAGGAATAAATGAAACGTGTGGAATGATATTACTGCTGTATAGGCATTTTTTTTCCTCCTTAGGGTACAGTAAAACTTTTTTGGCAACTGAGTTATTGAATAGTGTATTTCTGTAATTGTTCCAATTTGCCTTAATTACTTTTGTGCATTTTGCAGCAAAAACATGGATCATAAAATAGTTAGAAATCATTATTCATAATAGGCTGGGATGGATGTAGATGAATGCATAGATAAGAATTAAAGGCAGATGAAGAATGACATTACAATTTGATATCCTTTTAAAGAAATGCAACTTGCTCTCACAAATTGAAATGTATATCAATGTTATAAAAATAATTTGAGACCACTTAACCCCTAAAAGATGTGAATCAACTTACTTAAAAATGTATAACTGAAAAAGTTGCTTATGTGGCCTGATCTTTTTTTTTTTTTTTTTTTTGAGTTAGGTTTTGATGAGATTTTAAGCCTAATGAACAATATTTGCCTAGATTAATCTTCCAATTAGTAACACATATAAATCAGTGGTAAATACTAAAAATAATATAATAGGTGATGTTGAACACTTTCATTATATCTTTTTTATAATTGTATTTGTCAGAGTACTTTTCTTAAAAATTGATGCCAGTTTTAAAGCAATTATAAACTGTTTAGAGAAAGGAATCAAATAAAGTTGCTGCTACTCATACTATTTTCCCCTCGTTTTTAAGATTAGGCTATACACATGACTCGAGCAGAAACATAATACTATATAATTAGGCAATAGCGTACTTTGTTTGTTACATTATATTCCTTTGATATTATTGAAAATTTAAATTAATTCATCTTGCTATCGGCATGCAGTTTTGTTTTGTTTTGCTTTGTTTTTAAACAGTGTAAAGAGAAAAAAAAAATAGAGAGTGCCTTGCAGCCGGCCTATGGATGTTCTCATGATTTCTTTCAGCCTTCCTCAAGCTCTATACAAACCCAAAAGGCTATTCAGCAGCGGGGGTGTGAGCATTGAGGGAGGGAAGGGGTCTCCTCTCCCATTCCTCTGTGTATCTCATTGTTCATCACTTGTCAATATATTTCCCACACACCATCTCCAGCCATGCTGTGCCTCATCCTGGCCGCCGGTTCCATGACCTCCATGACATTGCTCGCTCTTTCTCCACTCCCCACGTCTAGAGTTTTGTTTCGTTTTGTTTTTTAATTTTTCCCAGACAGTGGTTACCATAAGGCTCGCCACTCTAGTAGTATAGATTGTAGAAAATGTTTGTTGAAATAACTAGCAGTAAAAGGAAAGTTTCTCAGCATAATGTTCCCTGGCTCCTACTGTGTCTTCGCCCTGTTTTCATGCTCTCACCTCCAAATTCTCCACAAGTTTTCACAGTATTTATAAACTTTTTCTAACAGCATATATAGTAAAAAGAACAAAATCCCTGGACTGATGTCTCAGTTTTACTATTTATTAAGTGTGCATTTTTAGGGGGGAGGGGGAAACAACACTTAACCTCTTGAGGCTCATCTGCAAAATAAGAGTACAAGTATTTGCTTCATTGAGATGTACATGAAATTAAAAGTATGATCTTTCATAGACTTTAACAGCCTGTCACTAGGTAAAACAAGGGTTATTATATTTTCTTGATATTTCACAGTTTCTACAATATTTGCCGTTTATACAGCAAAGCATACAATTATTGACAATGTTCAATACTCAATTGAAATGAGATCATTCCCATTTAACGGTTTTGCTACTTTTCCTCTGCCTCAAGGAGTAATAAGTAAGGAGTTAAAATGGTATCAGGCCTCTTTATACCACAGAGAGAAGTGCTTTGACTAAAATATTTCACTTAATTTTGAGACATGCTTATGTCTTTGAAGAAAGAAGAACCACTAAAAAGCTGCGATAGTCAAAGCTAAAAACTATTAATTCCTTCCCTCCATGTATGTCTACACTTCCCACATTAAAAGATGGAGTCTAGTTCCCTTCCTCTTGAATCATGCCTGGATCTGGTGGCTTACATTTTCCTATAAAATACAGCAAAGAAATATTCTGGGATTTCAAAGTCTAGGTCATACTAAGTCTTGCATGTTCTCCCAGATCTCTTGGTATACTTATATTTATGATGCTTCCTCGAAGAACTTGTAAGAAGCCTGAGCCACACAAAGATGTCCCATGTAGATCCTCTGGTCTAAACCCCTAGCTCAACTCTCATGTGACATCCAGAATTAACTGCCTACCATCTTGGATGTCTAGGGCAATCAAACCTTTGGATGACATTTGTTTGCAATGCTGCAAGAAGCCTTAAGTGAAAACTGTCCAGCTGAGTCCTGTCAATTGACAGAAATGTAAAAGATAATAAAAAGTTGTTTGCCACTATGACTAGGGATGATTTGTTGTATACATAGACTAGTGAAACAACAACAAATAATGTATTAGCATAATTTAAACTTTTTACATCACAGTGGCAAGACAATATTCACTGTCAAAGTCAGCTAGAACTTGGATAATTGAGGGAGGAATTATATTTGTGTGTATGAGATGTCTTCATTCATTCATCTATCAGTCACTTGACTACCATGAGCTGGAATTTTTGTTTTTTAAAGACACCGAAGACTTTTTATAAACAAGAGGCTTTAATTCCTCAATGTATATTGATTTACAAGTATGCATTACTACCGGCTGGGCATGGTGGCTTATGTCTGTAATCCCAGCACTTTAGGAGGCCAAGGCGGGCAAATAACTTGAGGTCGGGAGTTCGAGACCAGCCTGGCTAACATGGTAAAACCCTGTCTCTCTAAAAGTACAAAAATCAGCTGGGCATGGTGGCACGTGCTTGTAATCCCAGCTACTAGAGAGGCTGAGGCAGGAGAATTGCTTGAACCTGGGAGGCGGAGGTTGTAGTGAGCAGAGATCATGACACTGCACTCCAGACTGGGTGACAGAGGGAGACTCTGTCAAAAAAAAAAAAAAAAAAAAAAGTGCATTACCAATATACCAGTATCACTTTTACAAACAAACAAAAGAAAAAAAAAAACAACAACAACTGAAGTTAAGTATTGATTTTAAATAAATGCATTATAACTCCCTTTAACAACTCAGGAGAGATGCCAGGTTTCAATCTATGTTGATTTATGCTTGACTCAAAATTACACTGATTCCTAAGCACAAAAATTCTCTAAAGAGAACTTGTAGTTTTGTCAGTGTTGTACATATAGAATGCTAGAATTACAAAGAAAACTCTGACTGCCTGTTAGGACCAATGGCAACAATTCTTTTGTTAAATTATCCTAATAGTTGTGGCATTACTCTTGATTTGTTTTAGAAGGATCAGTGTCAATACCATCTTATGTGCTGCTGTGTGACAACATTGGTCACACAAAGCACACCTTTCATGAGAGAGGTAGATGAAAATAATTTATGGACTACTTTTTCAGAAAATACACACTTTTCCTTTTGCTTCTTGCATTTGGCCTTCTTTGACAGTTCCATCTGCTTTTATTTAAAATCAGCTTTGTGGGTTATTTTTTGCTGAAACTTAAGTTGCAAAATTCAAAGAGTGAAAAGTTTATCAAAACAGCCTGGCCGGGCAAGGTGGCTCACACCTGTAATCCCAGCACTTTGGGAGGCCGAGGCGGGTGGATCACGAGGTCAGGAGATCGAGACCATCCTGGCTAACACTACTAAAAATACGGGTGTGGTGGGCGCCTGTAGTCCCAGCTACTCAGGAGGCTGAGGTAGGAGAATGGCGTGAACCCGGGAGGCGGAGCTTGCAGTGAGCCGAGATCGCGCCAGTGCACTCCAGCCTGGGCGACAGAGCGAGACTCCGTCTCAAAAAAAAAAAAAAAAAAAAAAAAAAAAAATTTAAATTAAAAAAATAAAACAGCCTGTGTATCATATAAATGAAAGTTGCATAGGACAGAATGTAGTATTTGGACACCCAGCAGCTCATAATATTTAAAGCAATGGCATGCCTCTGCTTGATTCTCTTTACTAAGCACTTGGCTACTTAGAGCCAGGGAAATAAAGAGAGGTAGAGGTGTTTTTTGCTTTGTAAAAAAAAGAAAAGAAAGAAAAGAAAACTGAGGGGTAACTCATCCCATGCTGAAAGAAGCAACAAGCAGTATAGACAATAATTGTGCCAAGTATAATTAGCCAGATCTGTTGAGCACTGACATTCAGAAATTCCTTCCTCTTTCTTTTCAAAATGTTCACATCGTTATGATGTAAAGTAGACCATAGCCCGAGAAATGAAAGATTTGCCTTTTTCCAGCAAAGGGTATTTATGAAAAGCATTTACTTTCATCTCTCTATTGAAAGGCTTTCTGAAATAATGCTTTAATGCCTACTATTATATTGAAGCTAATTGTAATCCCAGCACTTTGGGAGGCCGAGACGGGTGGATCACAAGGTCAAGAGATTGAGACCATCCTGGACAACATGGTGAAACGCCGTCTTTAGTAAAAATACAAAAATTAGCCTGGTGTGGCAGTGTGCACCTGTAGTCCCAGCTACTTGGGAGGCTGAGGCAGGAGAATCGCTTGAACTTGGGAGGCGGAGGTTGCAGTGAGCCGAGATGGTGCCATTGCACTCCAGCCTGGTGACAGAGCGAGACTCTGCCTCAAAAAAAAAAAAAAAAAAGAAAACTAATGTTCATAAATCTTGAATCACCTGTAGTATCTAAATGTAAAGTCTTACCTTTAGTAGCAGTGACTCTCAAATATCCGTTCAAGGTTCAATACTAGATAATTACATTGAAATCACCTGAAGAGTCTTAAAAGTAAAGACTTCTAGGCTCCACCTTTTAGGGATGGGAGCTGAGAGTCTGCTTTTGTTCCCATCTACCATCAGATGTTGCTATGTCCAAGCTTTGGTCCGTGGAACTACAGTCCTTTGAGATGCTCTGTTAGAGGAATGTTTTCTCCTAGAGATCCACAATGCACGTGACCATATTAAAGCTCTAGAGATGTTTAACTTGGCTTATCTAGTATTTCCAGACTTACTGAACCTTTAAAACTTTTTTTTTTAATTGTAGAGTGGAGCTCACTTTGAAAAAGAGGGGTTTAGAGGAATTCTGAGATGTCCCTTCCGTAAAACTTAGGCAAAACAAAATTTTCTTTGCTCTTGGAAAATGTATATTTTCATATATATTCTTGTAATATCAACAAAAAGCTTGACATTTCTTTTCATTATCCAATTGCTTACTCTCTGCTGTTAACTACTATATCTTTTCTGATAATGTTTGACACTTACATATTTCCTTAAAATTATGCCTGAACATGTTCAGCTTTTTCCAAGAAACATTTGTATCATTGATTACTTCAAAGACTTGATTCTAAGAATTTACAAAAGCACAATGAAAATATTCTGCTATAGAGTAAATAGTCACTGGAACAACTGGCCATATTCTGGTTTATATTATAATTAGCGATAGTGATGAATTTTCCTTTCCTGAACACCAAACCACTTCAGGGAAAAGACAATATCTTATTCATCTCACCACCTCCAGATGCCTTTGTTGAATCATGTTGATTCCTGAAACCAAGTTTCTTATGAATCATGCTATCAGTATATAGATGCTATTTAATGTTCTGAGTCACATGCTTCAGTAGTTTGCTGACTTTCTCAGGTTTATGTATTTTTTTTTTATAAAGACAACTGACGTTTTATCCTCAGCTTGTATATTGGAAATGTTATTAACCAACATTAGCTCATCATCCACTTCAGTGCAGAAACCCAATGTGTCATATCCTTGATAAGTTCCTTGAGAACAGGAATTATGCTTTTTAACTTCTTTCTGTCCCTCATAGACCTCCACTATTGTTTTGCACAAAAGCGTTCAAAAGGTAATCTTGGTGTGAGTATAAATAACCAGATGGAAAATATGTTGAACAACCTCTGACCATTAAGACTTTCTCAATATTGTTTTCCTAAAAGTCAAAATCCAGGACTTGACATTTATGGCTACATATATGCCAACCTTGGGCTGCTTTATGCACGCACTGGATTCTCTCTGTTGGCTTTTTCTGTCTCTTTCTCTTATCCCTGCTTATATACGAAGCTCTGAATATTCAGTTTCTGCAGTTAAAAGTTAAATTTCAAAGATAATAAATTTCAAAGTGGGTGTTTTATTAACTGCAGCAATAAACAAGTGAGAGTTGCATTACACTGTGACAAAAGTTCTTCAGCTTCTATGGGCCTGTGTGTTCCCAGATGAAGAGCCAAGTGGAAATGTTCAATAAAACATGTGTGAGACTGCACAATAGAACAGTCCTTACATTTTACATCAAGCTGCATCAGGGTCACGGGAGGTGTTTTATTAGCACAGTCAACAATAATATCGTGATTTTTATTAGGAGGAAAAGATAGTGAGAGACTACTAATTATTTTTCAGCCTGAGGGGCATTTTTTCTTGAAATGACTGTTAATTTGATCATTGTCGTGCAGTTCACAGATTTACATGAACTTCTTTCACTCTGACACATGGTTAAGAACCAGACTAAGATTGTTGCTTTATTAATGGTTTTCAGTAAATGTATTCAAAAGTGCTAACTATGTGGGTGTATGGATGATATTGATAGCACTAGAAAGGTTGAATCCTTTTGGAAGTAGCTAGCCTGAAGCCCTTTTTGCATGATATTTTCTTTGTTCATGCAGTGAGATGTTAAACCTACAGGAATGAAATGAAATCCCAGTGAAATAAGAATGGTGTTGTCTCAGATATTACCAAAGTGGCTTTTTAAGAAATGTTTCCTTTCTTGTTTTTCCCTTTCCGCCGATAGGGCAAGCATCAGAAACTTGAGAAAGCCAGTGATTTTTTAAAACACTTGCTTTGGTATAATTAAGAAAATATTGCACAATGTTGTCATTGTTAAATGGCATGGAGTAAGCATAGTCTACTAACCCACTTAGAATTCTTGCTGGTTATAAAGCTAATTTATTATGATTTTTCTTTTTAATCTGCATACATTATGCTTAACTGAAAATGAGAATCTGAAACTCCTAGTGACTAGGCTCATTTTTATTTTATCTATCATTTTTGCAAATGTCATTAATCTGGCAAAAAGTCTTATACAATCTTCTCTTGCTTTGATATTGCAAGAAAATCCACATAAGACATATTCTTAATGGTGGAAGAAATCTTCAAAAAAGGTAAAAGTTTAAAATGTGGAAGGACAGAACTGGTGATTCATCCTGGAGAGTTATCTATTTAATTTAAAATTATCTTTTTCAAAATAATTTAATACATTTGGAAAAAAATCCAGACTTGGAGAAAATGGGCAGTTTTCATAACATTAGAATCTTATTAAAAATCTGTTTTTGAGACAAAATTTTAAGATGAGATTACCAATGTAAAATTGATTTGTAAATTATAAAGTGTATCATGATTCTAAGTTATCATTATTAAATGAAATGTTAATTTATATGTTGGGCATAAAGACCAGTCAGTATCTTTATACTGTATACTTTAAAATGATCAAACTGCAGAAAATGTGGCATGTATTATCCACATAACAGAGTGCACTTATAAGAACTATAGTGAGTAGATGCCAATAAAGTCTGAATTCCTATCACATCTATCTCATGGCAAATGTATGTAATTCATATTTTTAAGGATATCCTCATTGTTAAAGCTGCTTGATACAGCTGCTTTTAACTCTTACTAATGGGAGTTGGACTTGACAAGAAATGGATTGAAACTTGAATTTAATCTTACTACACATGAGGGAGAGAATACACCACAGCATCCAAATGTTATTATTGGTCAATGATAATTAAAATGTATTATGAGGAAATATTCCTAATTATACTTTTGCCTCTGCTTAGAGAGGGTAAATGACTTTTTTTCTCAAGTGCAGTTTATATGCTTGGATTGATGGGTAAACTTTCTTTTGAATTACTTAAGTTTGTAGAAGTACCTATATGAAAAAGAAAAACTTTTCCTGTGTATATTACCTATAATTAAACTGTCTTCTTCTAAAAGCATGTTAACAATGCCATTTTGCAACATAGGAAATTTCTCATTCTAAGAATTCAAAAACACACGTACAATTTGAAATTTTTGTCCTGCAGAGACCTTGAAAATCACTGAATTGATTTGTTGCATTCTCAGGAGGACTTAGGAAATTTTGCTTATTTTTTCATTGTGCTTTCTCACAACTGACTTTCAAAAATATCATAGCTCTGCATTGTGGCAATAGTCCATGGTCAATACATCAATGACCTGTTTATCCTTGTAAGCAATATCAGCTTCCGTGAAAGACAGACTCCCAGTATTCCGAATCTCCCAGAGCTCCTGAACCTGGCACTAGGCCACATCTGGCCAGCAGGGACAGTTCCTGATGTAGTTCACACTGTTATCCTAAAGCAATTTTGATTGGGAACATCTTGAAATCACTTCAGTTATTTCTCAGAAATCTCAAATTAAATCAAATATAGATGATTAAACTTAAGGGTCATCTGAAGATCTTACTGGAGATATTTTGATTGAGAAAAGTCTGTATTGTGCACACTAATTTGGTGAACAAGTAGCCATAATTGAATAATGCCTCTTGGGTTATATTAGTGAAAAAGAGAACTTATCCCATTGCTGGTGCTAGCACATGCTTTGTTTTTCAGGGCCATTTGTCGCCATGAAGCCTGACTCTTGAAAAAAAGAAATTCTTAGCCAAGTCTCTAAATGACGCTGTAAATTAAGGCAAAATCAAAACCAGAACTCAAGCCTACACTACAGTAAAAACCATCACATCATACTCTATTTCTTCTGGATTATTTCTTATGCTTCTCTAATTTTCATTTAGCTCTTACAATTAAGATAATTTAGAAACAATCATGAGTACTTTGGAAACCTTAACTTTTATTTACAGAGGAGAGAATTAAAGAGTTCATCTTAGGAACTAAAACAGCTAGTAGAACCTAGAGTGTCTATGTAGTTTTGACTTCTACTTCATTATTATAACCATTCATGAGTGAAATCTACATATATTACAACTGTCATTTTATGCTTTCCTGTTAAAAGAACTTTAATTCCTCTATGAGACTTGCAAAAATTAAACTATCTTTCTTTCATGGCATCAATTTGCAATGTACTTTTATATTGAATATCTAGAAGAGTAACAAGTAATAGCTGATAATAATAAGAGTATAACAATAATTGACAAGTTAAAGCTTTTACTTTGTACTAGGCTCTGTGCTAAGCAGTTTATATGCATTGTCACATTGCAAGATACAGACAATAAAATGAAAGACCAGAAAGATGTTTCTTAAAACCCTGAAACTTGACTGCATTCAGTGTGCCAGTGTTCAACATATTGACTGGCATAGTTTTTCTTGCAAACACATGCATACTTAGGCAACATACACTGAGAAAATTTATACTGAACAGTCACTTGGCCCTTAATATAATCTTCAGCTTGAAGTATTTCCTGCACATGAAGAAGCTATAAGAGCAGCCTTATAAGGTTTGCTACTCAAGGAGAGAAGTTCACAGGCAATGAAGGCAGGAAAATGATTCTCAATTCTGCTCTAGAATGGTAGACAAAAAAGGAAACTGCTGAAGGGGCCAAGCAGTAAAATTTCTGTGAAAGAGCCAGAGTCTTTTTGGTGAAAACACCAGAGCCCCAAGAGCTACAAACTATGGTGTCCTGGGAACATGTTATTTAATTGTTCTGTCTATATTGGAACGTAGATTAAGAAGTATATGGTAACATTTATGTCATTTCACCTCTGCTAAGAGCCAGCCTTTCTTTTTTTTTTCTCTCTCTCTCTCTCTGTCTTTCTCTGTGCATTACTTTAAGTCACATTCCTGTAAGGCTGCATCAGTGGTTGTCTTTCATATGCTTGCACCTATGTATGGAAGCCACAGCTGCCAAAAGCAGACCCACTCAGGTGTGTTGTAGCAGGGATTCAAGTGGGAATGGCATCACCATAGGTGTTGAATATGTTCTTCAATGGTTAAGTACTTTTAATCAGTCTGAAAAAGTGAAGGACATACTTCTATTATTGTATAAAATGGCTCAATTTCTGAAAACTTCCAATTACGTTAAAACTGTAAAAATAATAGTTGAATTTAATTGTAAAATTAAGCTGTGCTCTAGGTGCCATTCACACCCATATAAGTATCTTGATAATTTTTTTAAAAAATTTTTGAGGACTCAGGGATATTCTTTGGAGGCTATCCAGCATTCCTGGCCTCTATCCAATATAAAGCTAAAAGTGCCCCAAATCATTGCAACAACCAAAAAAAAATGCCTCTATGAGATTCCATTATATTCTTGGTCAGACAATAAAAACTTATGATTCTATGATCCAGCTACTCTTGCCTAGTTGAGAAGATTGACCAATGGCTTCTTCATGCAAACAGAAATTTTCCCTTCCATATGCATTAAGGTGCAGTTTCCCTTAGTAGTCTTATTTACTTTTCAGCCAAATTTGTTCAAAAAAAGAATTGATAACTTTTATAATTTGAAAGCACAGAAAAGACGTTTATGATAAATTTGCTAGCTGACGTGATATTCGATTTTTAAACAAACTCAGTCATCCCAATGCTATATTCTTGCACACATTCACTTGCCACTCACTCCTTTTCTCCTGCGTAAAGAATGATTTGTTACAAATAAACCAGTGGCAAAGCGAGGACGGCAACTTTTGTTATACATTATTTTATTTGAAACATTCCATGAAAGTTCTATTTTCAAGTGTCAATGCAGGTGAAATTCAGGGCATCACACAGTTCCACTAGAGCAGTAAAATGCTTTGTGGTGACTGTGTTCTTCCTTTGTTTGATTTGCTAGTTCTTTCTGAAGGCTTGCCATCACAACCTGAATGGAAACTCGTAGTACCCGACTGGTAGGGTTCTCTTACTCCTGGAGGTTTTGTCAGTCACTATCTTGAATGGTGAAATCTCTTTATATAGAGGAATGTCCTTGGCTAAGCATTCTTGTTGAATTCTTTGGAATAACTCTATCCTCCAGAAATTTCTACATAAGTATTCTATACAGTTTTGTTCATTCAACAAACATTTGTTGAGCAAATGATATAAGCCTTAAACTAGGGTAGGCACTGAAATCCTTTTCTAGATGGACTCAATAATAAAACATAATTTTCAAGTTCATTATTATAATAGGAATAATAATTTAAAAACTGACATATACATTCATAGCTATTACAATGCTTATTATATTCATTTTATAACACTTCATAGTACTATAGATAAAATGATCTAGATCTATTTTCCTTGATATTGCCAGTAATTATAAAACCCTAGTCCTGCCTAACCTATGCTATATTAAAAAATAATCCACAGGCACAAATTCTAGGAAACAATTTTCATTAAATATCAAAGTTTCCCCAGATCATTAACATCTGTGAGCCAAACAAATGTATTTTTTAGTTTTTCTTTTTTTTTTTATTTTGAGATGGAGTTTCATTCTGTCGCCCAGGCCAGAGTGCAGTGCCACGATCTCAGGTCACTGCAACCTCCACCTCCCTGGTTCAAGCAATTCCCCTGCCTCAGCCTCCTGAGTAGCTGGGATTACAGGAGCACGCCACCATACCCGGCTGATTTTTTCTGTATTTTTAGTAGAGATGGGATTTCACCATGTTGGTCAGACTGGTCTCTAACTCCTGATCTCAGGCAATCTGCTTGCCTCGGCCTCCCTAAGTGCTGGGATTACAGGTGTGAGCCACTGCACCCAGCCTTTTTTAGTTTTTCGTAGAAGCGAAATAAAATATTTGAGAAACGAATATACTTTCTACAGATTTGCTTCACTCATCTTGTAGGGCAATTGGAAAGAATTTTATTATATAAATACACAGTGTTATGGGCACTAATTTCTATTTCTTTAATTATAAGGAGAATCACCTTTTATCGCATTTCACATGCCATACACTATGCTAAAAAGCATGTGTGCATTATTTAATTTATTCCCTGTGATGCTGTAAGAGAATTTCCACATTCTACAGATGAGGAAACCAGGGAAGAGATAGGCAATATCAGAGACAAAATTTGAAATCATAGCTAAAAGAGACTGTCTCAGTCATTAAAGCCACAATATGTCAGATCAGAATTGCCTCTCTAGGGGTCTAGAGAGCAGCAACAACCAGAAGATGGCCTGGTCTTGGGACTTGGATTCAAGAGAAGTGTTCCCCCAAGGCAATGACAAGCAAGAGTTAAAAAGTGAATGTGGGCTCAAGTGTTTTGGGAAAAATAAGCATTTTACAATCTATAAATCATGTCTAAATGACAAGTAAAAAGAGAAGAACAGGCTAAAAATAGGAAAATAAACATGCAGAGAATATGTATTAACTGAATAACTTTTGTGGGGAGGTTACAGTCATAACTTGTTTATATCAATTATATGGAATTCTCACAAAAATCCTGTAAATAAGTTTTAAATCATAGTCTCATAAATGAGGAAACAGAGGTTCAGAGAGGTTAATGCACTTGCTCCGGGGAGCAAACCCCTGGAGGGCAGATTTGAGATTCCAGAAGCAGGACTGAGAGCTGTTTGGCACTGAGGTGGAGTTGGGGAAGGGGTGGGCAGGGTGGGCATGGCGTTTCCAGTAGTCTCTTCCAGAAGAGTCCTAAGCGATTGCTAGGGAACAGATCTAAAGCACCCAGTTTATTCTTTTTTGCACAAAGCAGCATGTCTGAGGCAGGCTGAGTAAAACATTCAGAGTATGGTGAACAGATAGACTTACATGAGGCCTGAAATAAATACATTTTGAATAATTCATTTTCTGGTCACGAAATTCTAGTTGAAAAGCAAAATTCACATCTTGCCCTGCCTCCATGATGACTAGGCACATTATACCACAGTCAGAAATGAAAACAAAACACACATACAAACAAAAACCATTTCATTAATGGATGAACTAAAACAAACTGAACAAGAACCCACCAGTCCCCAAATCAATGAAGGCTTTAGTGCTTTCCCTGAAGTTGCCAACTTCCTAGGAAAAGTGAATCATGACTCTGCAGTACTGATACCTACAGTTAGGTACAGACTCATGCAAATATGATAATCATTAGAGAAAACAACTGTTTTTTTCCCTATTGCTGACAGGCGGAATACAACTTTGGAAACCCTGTATTGTGAGTGTTTATTTTCCTTTACATACCTGCTTCAAACCGTGTTCAGAGAGACAGTTTTTCAAGACTCCCTTATAAATAGTTTGCTTGTGTAAACAAGTATGCAATCTTTTTCTTAATGGTTTTATCTCTCAATTGTCATTTAACAATGGCCAAGTGATATATATACAAAGAGAGAGCATTAATTTATAAACAAAAAAAGAAAATTACACACTTTGTATATGCTTTCTGTAAGTTCTACATTCATCAAGGAGGAATCATTTAAACCTGTTTCCCGAAGTATATTTCAATTTATTTAACTGAGCTGAAATGTGAAATAAAATATCTATTCCTTTCCATATATTTAGACAGCTACAGAAAATTATGTCAAATGTAGTAATTTCATCATTTGTTTATTCAGTAAACACTGAGTATCTATTATGTGCCAGGCACTATTGTGATCACTGAAATGGAGGAATGAATAAACAGATACAGGCACTGTCCCCATGGGGCTCACATTCTAATAAGCTATTAATGTATTATAAATTACATGCAATATTAAGGATAATTGATTTTATATAATGCAAACATAGATAAGCAATTGGGACTTCAGATTTCATTCAGAAATTATTATCCTACTATCTTCACGTATTTTGAGGGATTTAAAAACTAATGTTCACTATTTAGTGACCATTATCTAAAAGGTTAACTGTGACGTAGAGGCTGTATTCCATAACAAAGAGGAAAAACAGTGTTCTCTCTTGAATGTGGTGGTTGTTTAAATGTCTTACACCCACTTTAAAAGCTTCATATTTTTAGAGAAGATTGAAAATTGGAATGGTCCATCAATAGAAGTCATCAGTTAGTTAACAGAATTTCCTTAAAAAGTTTTTGACGATAGGGTATCTCCATTTAAACAGAGCTATGGACATTATGATATTTTTACAAAAGATAATGTTAATTCTGCTTTTAGAAGTATCTAGAGAACAATTTGTTCACTAAATGAATTTTGCTTCATATTTTGTGCAAAAATCATTGTAAAACCCATGTCTATTTTTTGGAAATAAAAAAGAAAATTAAAATGACAATAATTGCAGCTTCCATCATTATGAGATTCCCGAGCTTTATTTCTGATGTGGATACAGTTAGACAATAGCAACAGCTTTTGGAGAAGCTTTTGTCTCTTGAAAATGTTAAGGTAAGTGATTATTACTGACCTTACTAAATGTTATTAATACAGAAATAAAGCATATTTAACCACTCTTTGCTGTGTGCTCATAAGGTATCCATGGTACAAAGCATAGATATGTTTACATAAAGATGGTTTTTGCTCATTAGCAGACTAGAACTTCCAGCTCATATCATTCCTTTGAAGACAGGGAACTTGGGGTACAATCTGCAGGGTCATTAAAACAGTTGTTCTTTATATAAATTGTCTTAATGGCTTTGGTTGGTTGTTTCTGATTCTTCTTCTTTCTTATCCAGATACAGAATCTGAGGAGGGTGGCTCTGTTATTCTGATGGAATGAATGCTCAGTGAGATCAAAATCAAGTCATTGAGGATGCCAGGAGAGTCTGGGGCATCCTCAGGTACCCTGCAGGGTTTGTGGGGAGGCTGCTGGACTTACAGATTGTTGTGGATTTCATCCTGGATGGTTTACTGAGCTCTTTGGGGTTCCTGAGGTGAAAATTACAGCAATTTTAAGAGTCTGACACACTTTCCAGCTGATAGCACTAAAAACATGACTTGTAGCCTCCTCTCTTTTTCCTGTTTGCTTCTCTGAATGAAGATGGCAGAACTAATCTGTATGAACTATTATCTGTTATGTGAATTTTTATGAATTAAACTAATTTATCTTTAAAAATCCATTTTTTTCTCTATGAGCAACTTATGCAATGGAATGGACCTACTATATTTGTCAAAGTTATTAGAGTCCCGGGTTTTTAATTACTAGTTTGAACCCCACAGCTCTTCTGGTAAAATGTGGACTGCATACTGAAGGGAAAACAAAATAACAGATTATGCAATATACAAATAGAATTACCAGTGACTTATTCTCCTTTAAGTCAACATTTAATGCAATGGTTTTTGCTCTGGATCTCATATCCCTTTTATTTTGTATTTTTTTTGGGTAAGGTGGTTCCGATGTTATCAACCAATAAAATAAATTCTACTTCAGGTGACTCTTGTTCTTAAAATTAAAATAATGGAAAATATAAATTTGCATGCATAAGTAATTCAATATTTTAATATTAAAGCAAAAACTTTATCCAATACTAAGAGTTTTAAGTACATTCCCACTTAGAATGAAATTATATGCTTGCAAAGAGATCCTTTACCTAATCTTACTCTTATTTTTATAACTTGTATTAGCGACAGAATTTACTGAATTTTTCACAATTTACCGTTAATGATTTGAAATTGTTTCAACCTATATAAAATTATGAATTTATAATTTTATATATAAGGAATGAATTAATCATATTTTTCTTAACTAGAATTTTAGAAACTATGAAAAACCTCAACTAAGCATGAAGTATTATTATAACATGAGTGAAATTTAAAAGTTCATTAATCTATCCCTATGGATAGTTTTGTGCAATGCTCAAAATTTTAGGCCTCTGGATAGATGCGAATTACATTTGCCGTTCTAACATCCCAATCTACGTATTAGTTTGAATAGTTCGACAAATCAAGAATGAGGTTTTTCTTTCTCCTTTCTTAAGATTCTTCAACAATGTAATAAGGTAAACAGCAAATATTTTACGGATGAATCTAAGCATAAGTAGGTAAAGGTCATATGATCTTTAATTAAAAATATAAGATATCATTAGTTATCAATTATCAATACAAGAAAGGTGACTAAATTTAATCCACCTGTAAAAAATAATATAGCTCTGTTCTAGTTCACAACATTTCATATTTCTTATATTCATGGATATATCAAACAAGTCTAATTAATAAATATCTTTACTTAAATAAGTTTCCTTACTCTTTCCTACTATGATTGTATTTGTTCATCTTTTAACACTAATTCTGCTCTGTACTTTCCCCAAAAATCTGCTGTCCATCAACTCTTCCTTTTCAGATCTTTTCTATAGCTAATAGTACTAAAAATCTTTAGCAGCCCTCAGCAATCACATCAAAAAACTCAGAGAGTGCAATCTGAAACCTAATTATTGCCATGTTGTCAAGTATGTGACCAGTTAAAAAAAACAACTTTAACTAAAATTATGATTTAAGAGTATACATTCAGCTATTGATACAGTCAAAAACCTTAATTCATAAAATATCAGTACAGAGAACGAAATGCAACTTTGCAATTATTTGCATAGAAGTTACCACTTAAAATGAGCACCAATACCTGTGACATTTGGACTGTCTAGACAAAGGTTGTTTACCCAAACTAAATCCATTAAAGGTATGGCTCACACTGTTAGCTAAATCCTACTAAAAATATTCTTATTGAGTCCAGCTTGCCCTGGTGCCTAACTCCATGGCATAAATTAAGGTTCAGAGCAAGTCTCTTAACTCTTTCAGATCATTAGAGCAGTATTTGAAAGGAGCAATCTAAGTGATCATTGGATTAATCCAAAATGCAAATGCACATGTTAAGTTTTATTTATCATTGCAAGTCTTCATCTACATTTAAAACATAAAATTCAACATTTGAAAATAGAGCTATAAAAATGGATATTTACTAAAGCAAAACAGATAATATTTTGTGTATGTGTGCACGTGTGCATGTGTGTGTGTGTGAGAGAGAGTGTTTGGGTAGAATAAAGTGTTCCAGAAGTTATGCTTACAAGAGTGGTTTATAAATAAAACAATTATCACAGCAAAATAATAGCAAGTCCTATACCTACAAGAAGGAATAAGCAGGACTTGACATATACTCTAAGAGTTTACTGTATCTCCTAAACTCTTAGGTATACTTCCTTAATGAAATTTAAAAATTAGAATTCAATTTGTGATTTTTCATTTCCTTGTTTTTTCTACTTTTTGTCTTATGTTCCACAGGCTAGTTCCTTGGTTCTTATTTCATACTTATTATACCTTATGTCATAAGTCATTATTCTCTTCCTGAAAACGTAGATTAAAACAGATGGGGCCTGAAACTCTTCAACCAAAGTTCAGAAAAGGCTGCTGAATTTTCCATGAATTTAGGACTGGATCCAGAGGCATTATCACTTAAATTGTCTCCACTTGACAATAATGTGATGAACATAGAAAAAATATTAGGTTTGAGAATCCATATAGTCTAATTGTTCTCTCATCACTTTGATTTTCTTGCAACTCAAGTCATTGGATGTATTCAAATATTTTAAAAAGGCATTTCTTTAGCCACACCCTGAACTTCTGGGGTTGTTTCTTCAAATCAGAACATGAGCCAGTGTACCCTGTTCTTCACCTATCCAGAGTAAACCAAAAAATAAGAACTTCTTGAAAAATATTTGGGTAGAGTGATTGTAATCATTATTGGTTTGGTTTTTGTTAACCTTTATTTTTTGTTTGAGGAAGATTAAGTCAATCCACCTGGAGTTTAATACTGTATGTTACTATAGTAACTTT
This sequence comes from Homo sapiens, assembly GCF_000001405.40. Lineage (NCBI taxonomy): Eukaryota > Metazoa > Chordata > Mammalia > Primates > Hominidae > Homo > Homo sapiens. The sequence continues at coordinate 98,136,440 of NC_000006.12, forward strand.
ATAGCCTGTTTGGCTGTGACAAAGGGGCTTCATCTCGTCCATTTCATGCTCCTGTGTCGACCTACTCCCTCCCAGTGTTTTATTATATCTGTCTTTAAGGGTATCTGCGGGAGTCACAGCTGCTGTGCTTTTGTAACAGAAAGCAGCTTTCACTGTGTGAAATGCTAGGCTCTAAGAGGTCTTACAGGCTGATGGCATTATTGAATTTCAAAGCAAAGACAACATTAAATTGTTTAATGCTAATATTCACATTTTCCTGCATACCGTATATTTTTCTAGGAATAGTATGTAAGTTATTTATTTTTCCAGAAAAAGTATATAATTGCAATCTAATAGAATTATGAATGAGAGGAAAGGGAATGACCTTAAGGTGATATAACTTGAAAAACAAAATATATATTTAGGTTAAAAAAAAAACAATTTCGTATACACTCTTTTAAAGATTAGTTTTAAAAAATCAAGTAACTTGATTGCTTTATCCAGGTTTTATAGCTATCTAAATGTTGTTCAATGAGTAACTTCTGAATATGCTCTTATATATATAGATGCTGACTAATATTATCCACTTTAGTAAAACTTTAGCTCTTTAGATTCTATTCTTAAACCAAGTTTTAGTCTTGATCTCTTATGAGAAAATGTGTTAGCCTCAGTTATTTCCAAAGATAAAACATCATATTTGTAAGGGTAAGATTGAAATAGTTTTAATGTACTCAGAAATGTATATGAGTATACTGAGAAAATACTTTTGATAAGATTTTTACTTTTCAGTTTCTCTCATCTTGTTTATTGAGCCATAGCACCTGCCCAGCTTAAAACTTCAAAATTCTCTTCCCAGTGTGGTCCAGTATTTATTATTTGCCTCTGTTCCATAAAAGGCAACTTTGGTGAGATTTTTTTTCTTCAGATAATCAGTGCAGTGATTTTCCAGTTGTGTTAATTGTTGTGTTAGAAAAAGTGGTGAATGCTCAGAGTCTTGTTAACTTGCTAAGCATCTGGTCAGCAGGGTAGTTGAGTTCCAGCAAGGCTCTTGACACCTCTGCCAAGGGTTATTGATACCTCACACACCCCAGCTGAGGCAGATTGTTTTAGTTGGGCTTCATATCCATAGCATAGCCTGTAGTTAAGGGAAAAAAAAAGCAAACATGTGATTGACAGCCCACACCTCCTGGGCCCTTCTTACTACCAGACACAACATCTGCTATGCCCTGTGGAGCAGTGAACCAACACACACCGAGAGAATTGTTTCTAGTATTGTCAGGGTAGATTTTCTTTAACCCTTTGTAGTTACTCTCTGGAGAAAAGTGTGAGATGGCTTTTCTTAAGGGATGAGGGTGGGAATAAATTTAGATTTGGGGGGAGATTAGAATGCCTTGCTTTAAAAGGAGTTTTACTTAATAAAATATTACAGAAAGTGACCGAAAAAGGAATCTAGGGTAAGTGCGTAGAAATAACCTCATTGTTGTGCTTTTTATCGTAAAATGAAGGTTTGTCATATTCCCTGCCATCATTATATCAGAATCAGGAAAAAATTTGTACAGTGTAATGAATTAGTTGCAAATGGTTTTGGTTTTTATTCACTCGATACCCACAAACTAACGAGATTTTCATTAAATCTAGGTTTATAACAATTATTTGCAATAATTAAAAAGAAATGAGGAAGCCATTATATTTGTTAGGTAGATTTTAGAAGCTACAATGTGTCCAGGCCAAAGCTTTATGAGGCAAAAGTAATGTGCATCTGGTATTCCATAACTTCCAAAGTTATACACTGAAATATGGGAGCCTATAGATCACTTTAGGAAACTTGGTTTTTGTTACTGCCAACCCAACTACCCTGCTGGTAGAATACGAAGTCCTGTATTTGATAATAAATATGATTCTTTAAAAATAAATCAAAACAGTTTTGTAGACTGCCAGCAATGTATTGAAACATTTAAGGGTTCACAAAAATAATTACTAAGTTAAATTTTTTTGGACATTTTTGAAGGGTTTATATTTGTGTCTAGATATGTTAAGGTATCTTCTGAAACAATTTCATATTTGGGGCGTATTAGTCAAAAAGGTAAAGAATAGAGAATAATGTTCAGGTAAAATCATTTCATTACAAATGTGCCCTCTGCTACTGACATGAATAAAAATTAGGACACAAAGCTTCCATATTGAAGAGATATAGCAATGGTTGTAAGAGTAATTTAACGTATTTCTTTTCACTTGGGCCAGTGTTTGTCAGACTAACTCTTCATCATAATATCATACATCAACACTAATTCTTAATAGCCATGATATCTCTGTTTACAATGCTTTAAGGACAACCTATGCTACAGAAGAGCTGGTAGCATTTTTATTATGTCTTTATTACAGCAATGTAATTAGCAATATTATTATTGTTATATATTACTCTCGTGTCTTGCCAGCATAGTTACTCCCACATAATTCACCCAGTAGTATAAAGATGGAAAAATTTCACTTGACTCATATGATATTAACATAATGTTATCATTCATAGTTAAATAAATAAATAAATGTGTACGTATCTTGAATATAAGATCCATTTGTCTCAACAAATTTGTTCTTAAGCCAAAAGATTTAGCCAGAGACAGATTAGCTTCTAACAATCAAAATTTTAAAAATACTAACATATGGATAATTCAAGAAACATTTTTCCTGTTTCTCACTATTTTGAAATTTTATTACTTGCTATATTCTTGTATGTGTGTGTTACTACCTAATTGTTACATTGATCTATTTATTACTGTTCCAATGCCACATAATTGTTATATAATATAGACATAAAGCTTTACTTTATGTCTAGATGAATCGTGGAAAAATACCTTATATTTGTTTTTTCATCATTCATTTCTTGGCTATTTGTGTACACATATTCTTCCATAGGAATACAAAAGAAAAAATTCTATGTTCTCACTGATTTGTGGCGTCAAAAATCAAAACTATTTGAACTCATGAACATAGAGAGTAGAAGGATGGTTTCCAGAGGCTGGGAAGTATAATGGCAGACAGAGGAAATTGGGGGGAGGTGGGAATGATTAATGGATACAAAAAATAGTTAAAAAGAATGAATAAGACCTGCTATTTGATACCACAATAGGGTGGCTATAGTTAATAATAACTTAACTGTACATTTTAAAATAACTTAAAGAGTATAATCGGATTGTCTATAACTCAAAAGATAAATGCTTGAGAGGATGGATACCCCCATTCTCCATGATGTGCTTATTTCACTTTGTATGCCTGTATCAAAACATCTCATGTACCTCATAAAAATATACACCTACTATACAAAACTTTTAGAAAAATAATTTAAAAAAGAAATACAAAAGAAAACAAAAGACATTTTAGGTATGATAGTTTGGTTCCTTTATTTGATACAGTCCTATAATCTCGATCTGAGAATAGGAGAATCTAGTTCATTCAGTCATTGTGAGCAGAGATTACTGATGTCTGTTTTCTCACTTTGTGTTTTTTATTTGCCATTCATTCTCCATGTTTTCTTATCTTCTTCTGAATTGAATGAATTTCATTTCATCCTTATTTCGATAGCTGAAAATTTTATTTCTATTCTTTCCATTGTTATGCTCAGTTTTCAACACAAGTATTTGTGTATTTTATAAAAATATATTCAATAATATATCAGTATCTTTCTTCCCTTTCTTCATTTCCTTTTTTTCTCTCTAAACCCCTTGCCTTTTTAACTGTAATCTGGACTTTTGTTTCTAGATTATTATTTAAAAACATTCTTAACTTCCTTCTTTCTTGCTTGCTTCCACTATCTTCTTCTCTTCCTTCTCTGCATCCTCTTTCTGTTCTCTCTTCTTATAATATACACTTACTAAGATTTAATACTTATTTTACTTATATGTTTGCTCATCATTCCCTTTCCTCTTTGTTCCTTTCTTTTTTTTTTTTTTCCTTTTGGAGGAATATATCCTCAAATGTGTGTCTTTTGAATTTTTTTTTTTTTTTTTTTTTTCTGGAGACAGAATCTCACTCTGTCACCCAGCCTGGAGCACAATGTTGCGATCTCTGCTCACTGCAACCCTGACCTCCTAGGCTCAAGCAATTCTCCCAACTTAGCCTCCTGAGTAGCCAGGACTATAGGCATGTGTCACCACACCAAACTAAGTTTTCTACTATTTTTAGTAGAGACGAAATTTCACCTTGTTGGCCAGGCTGGTCTCAAACTCCTGACCTCAAGTGACCCACCCTCTGTGGCCCTCCAAAGTGCTGAGATTACAGGCGTAAGCCACCATGCCTGGTCTTTTGAAATTTTTTAAAGAAAATTTCTCATTGTATTTATTATGCTTTTGAAAAAATATTACATTTAACATTTTCTTTCCTATATTTGATTATATTCTCTTTAGAACATGTCAATAAATAAAAGTGTTTTCTTCACTCTGTTTAATATTTCCATCTTTTAAATGTCTTTTTATTATATTTTGGCATAGTTCTTTGGCTTGATCATTTAGCTCACAAATTTGTCTTTTCTAGTGTGCAATTACTATTTGTTTTTTATATGAGTGTATTAGTCTGTTCTCATGGGTAAGTTCTCATGAGACTGGGTAATTTATAAAGGAAAGAGGTTTAATGGACTCACAGTTCCACATGGCATGGAGGCAAAGGAGAAGTAAGAGGCATGTCTTACATGATGGCAGGCAAGAGAACTACCAGGGGAACTACCCTTTATAAAACCATGAGATCTTGTGAGACTTATTCACTGTCACGAGAACAGCATGGGAAAGACCTGCCACCATGATTCAATTACCTCCCACCAGGTCTCTGTCATGATACATGGGAATTAGAAGAGTTACAATTCAAGATGAGATTTGAGTGGGGACACAGCCAAGCCATATCAATCAGTAATTACAGTTTTCATTTAAAAAACTTCTAGAATTTATTTATAGTGATATGTTCTTGTTTCATAAATGCCATTTTCTCCATTATCTTTCTACATATGTAAAATGTACTTATTTTGAAGTCATTTTCTGATTTCTCTAATAACTTTGTTTCTTTGGAAAACATTTCTTTCTGTATTTCTTGTGCATGTGTTTTCTCTTTTATGGGTCAATTACCTCTAAGTTTTGTTTATTTTTTGTACCATTTCATCTATAACTGTGATTCTTTTTCCAGATAAGTGATATTTTTTATAGCATTTCATCTGTAACTATGATTTTTTTTCCAGTTAAGTGGTATGGCTGCTGGAAGTAGTTACCAAAGTTTAGTGGTTTGAAACAACACAAATATGTTATCTCACCAATTTGTAGATTAGAGTCTGAAGTGGATCTCACTGTGGTAAAATCAAGGTATTGTCAGGGATGTCTTGTTTTGAAGGCTTTAGAAGAGAATTAGTTTTCTTGCAGTATCCAGCTTTTAGAGGAAGTTTCTTAGCCCCTTTTCTTCATCTTCAAACAGTATCACCAGACTGAGTCTTTCTGGCTGCCATCTTTTCATTTCTCTCTTCTGACTTTCCCTTCCAATTTTAAGAATCTCTGTGATTATATTGGTTCCATCTAGATAATGCAGGATAATTTTCCCATTTTAAGGTCAGCTGTTTGGCTACCTTAATTCTCATTTTCTTCCCCCTTGCCATGTGTATTCGTCCATTTTGACACTTCTATAAAGATACTACCTGAGACTGGGTAATTTATAAACAAAAGAAGTTTAATTGATTCACAGTTCTACAAGGCTGGGGAGCCCTCAGGAAACTTGCAATCATAGTGGAAGGCAAACGGGAAGCAAGGTATGTCTTACCTGGTGGCAGGAGAGAGAGCGTGTGGAGAAATTGCCCCCCTTAAAACTATCAGGTCTTATGAGAATCCCCTCACCATCATGAAAACAACATGTAGGAAACCACTCCTATTATTCAATCACCTTGAACTGGGTCCCTCCCTCAACATGTGGAAATTACAATTTAAGATGACATTTGGGTGAGGACAGAGAGCCATAGCATATTATTCCAACCCTGGACCCTCTCAAATATCATGTTCTTTTCACATTTAAAACCAATCATACCTTCCCAACAGTCTCCCAAAGTCTTAACTCATTACAGCATTAACTCAAAAGTCCAAGTCCAAAGTCTCATCTAAGACAAGGCAAGTCCCTTCCACTTATGAATCTGTGAAATAAAAATAAAGTTAGTTACTTCTCAGATACAGTGGTGATACAGGCATTGGATAACGTTTCCATTCCAAATCCAATAAATTGGTCAAGACAAATGGGCCACAGGCCCCCATGCAGGTCTGAAATCTGGCCAGGCAGTCATTAAATCTTAAAGCTCCAAAATGACCTCCTTTGACTCTATGTCTCACATCTAGGGCATGGTGATGCAAGAAGTGGGTTCTCATGGACTTGGGTGGCTCCACCCCTGTGGCTCTGCAGTGTATGAGCCTGACCCCGGCCCCTTTGACTGCTTTCACGGGCTGGTGTTGAGTGCCTGTGGCTTTTCCAGGCACACGGTGCAAGCTATTGGTGGATCTACCTTTCTGGTGTCTGGAGGATGTGGCCATCTTCTTACAGCTCCACTAGGCAGAGTCCCACTGGGGACTCTGTGCAGGGGCTCCAACCTCACATTTCCATTCTGCACTGCCGTAGCAGAGGTTCTTCACGAGGGCTCCACCCCTGCAGCAGACTTCTGCCTGGACACCAAAGTGTTTCCGTACATCCTCTGAAATATAGGCAAAGCCTCCCAAAGCTCAAGTCTTCTCTTCTATGGATTAACAGGCCCAACACCAAGTGGAAGCCACCAAGGGCTTGGGGCTTACACCTTCTGAAGCAACAGCCCAAACTGTACCTTGGCCCCTTTTAGCCATGGCTGAAGCTGTAGCAGCTGGGACACAGGGCACAAAGTCCCAAAACTGTACAGAGCAGCAGGGCTCTGGGCCTGGCCCACAAAGCAATTTTTCCCTCCTAGGCCTACAGCCCTGTGATGGAAGGGCCTGCTGGGAATATCTCTGACATGACCTGGAGACATTTTCCCCATTGTCTTGGCTTTTACCATTCAGCTCCTTCTTACTCATGCAAATTTCTTCAGCTGTTTTTAATTTCTCCTCAGAAAACGAGGTTTTCTTTTCTACACATGGTCAGGCTGCAAGTTTTCCAAACTTTTATGCTTTGCTTCCCTTTTAAATATAAAATCAAATTTCAAACCATCTCTTTGTGAATGAATATAACTGAACACTTTCAGAATAAGCTAAGTTACCTCTTAAACGCTTTGCTGCTTAGAAATTTCTTCTGCCAGACACCCTAAATCATCTCTCTAAAGTTCAAAGTTCCACAGATCTCTAGGAAAGGGACAAAATGCCGCCAATCTCTTTGCCATAGCATGGCATGAGTAACGTTTATTCCAGTTCCCAATAAGTTCCCCATCTCCATCTGAAGCCTCCTCAGCCTGGACTTCATTGTCCATATAATTATCAGCATTTTGGTCAAAATCACTTGACAAGTCTCTAGGAAGTTCCAAACTTTCCCTCATCTTCCTATGTTCTTCTGAGCCCTCCAAAATGTTGCAACCTCAGCCTTCTACTCAGCTCCAGAGTCACTTCCACATTTTCAGATTATCTTTATAACAGTACCACACTCTGCTGAAAGCAATTATTTGTATCAGCCCATTTTCACACTGCTATAAAGATACTACCTGAGACTGGGTAACTCATAAACAGAAGAGGATTAATTGACTCACAGTTCACTATGGCTGGAGAGGCCTCAGGAAACTTACAATTATGGTTGAAAGCGAAGGGAAAGCAAGGCACGTCTTACATGGTGGCAGGAGAGAGAGAGCACACTGGGGAAGCAGTGATCCTTAGAACCATGAGATCTCATGAGAATTCCCTCACCATCACAAGTACAGCGTGGGGAAAACTGCCCCCACGGTCCAATCACCTCCTACAAGGTCCCTCTATTGACACTTGGGAATTACAATTTGAGATGAGATTTGGGTGAAAACACAGAGCCCAAACCATGTCAACATGTAATTTATCATATTCACAGGTTTCAGGAATTAGAACACGAGCACTATTGGTGGATGAAGGGAAGTGTTCTTATTCTGACTGTTACAAGTGTACTGTAGAGCATATTCAAGTAGGGGCAACAGCTTATTAAAATGGCTTTAGCTAATGATATTGACCACAGTTAACCTTGTGACTTCTCAGCTGCTTGGGTTTTTTTTGCTGTTGTTATTGTTTATTTATTTTTATGAAAAAATTTTCACTATTAGGCCAATACGAAGTTTCTGTTTTTGTTGTTTGAAAATGTAAATCTCTACTTATTAATTTAATTTTTTTCCTGTTCTGGGTTAGAGGTGGAAGCAGCAAATTTAACATGTGCTTAAATGTAAGAATTAGAAGAATAAAAAGAAGAATTTATACCCATAAACCACTAGATTAGAAGCAAACACAGTTTATATAAAAAATATTCAGAAAAGGAAACAAGGAAGAATAAAAAGATATGAAAAAGAATACAGTCTCAAGACCAAATATATCAACTGTAACAATATAAGAGTTACATTATTGTTACAGGAAGATTTTTAAACTGAGTCAAAAAAGAAAAAAAATCTATTTTCATGAGGCAATGAAGGAATCATTTAAAACAATAAAAAGTATCTAGGTTGAAATAAAAGAATTTAAAATGTTGCACAAATGCAAAAAGAAAAGCAGAAATCACAATATTAATATCAGACAAGGTAAATTAGGAATAAAAATGCAATAAATAAAAATATTTTTAAAAGTTTAATTATACGTGTTCTGCTTTGTAGAATTTGAGATTTTATTTATAGTGTAAACAGAGTTGTTAATTTTCCACTTCTTGTTTAAGAATATATATTAAGTCTCTTCAGATTAAAATTATCTTGTATTACATATTATATTAAAACTGTAAAGCTGTATGTACTTCAGAGATCAAGTAAAAGAAAAGGAAAGATTTTAAAAGATTTTAATGATATAAAGGTTGATACTAATGTAATACAAGGTGATTTTAATCCACAAAATATAATATATATCTCACACGATGAAATTCTAACAAAACTGATTTGAGCCATACATAGGACCTCAAATTCTGCAAAGTAGAATACAGTTCACATTCTCTGACTGAAAGCACATATATAAAAATTAATTAAACCACTTATATATATTTTAAAGTACTCATTGTAAAATTCTGAAAGAAGAAAATAATGGAATTTGAGTTTTTCAAAAGGAACAGAAATAGAAATACTATTCATCAAAACATATAAAATATTGCCAAAGTTTTCTCAAAAGCAAATTCATAACTGAATATTTTAGCAAATAAAATATGGAAAGAAATTTAAACCTTGAGCACTAGAAAGCAAGTGAAAAATAAACATAAATTTAAAATGCAACAGATTAAAAGATACCAAAAGTTAGAAAATTCCAAAAATGTAAAGTGGGGAAATTAAAAAACTTCTTTTCTTGTAGTGGTATAGAATCAGAAAGCTTTTAGAAGGACCAAATTCAAAATTTGCTCTAAGAAAGTAAAATTAAAAATATGAGATTAAAAATTATTTTTAAATCAATTTAAAACTTGTTATAATAGATTAATTTTTTTAAAATGTTAATGATCATATTTGGGTTTTAAAAAATACAAAAATCCCTGAAGAGAACTGAAAAGTTTTCAAATAATTACCTCTAAAACAATATACAAAGCTCTTTTAATGTTTTTATTAGAAGTAGATTCTTGCTATGTTGTCCATGCTAAACTTGAACCCCTGGGCTCAAGCAATCCTCCCACTCCAGCCTCCCAAGTAGCTAGGTCTACAGGGACACAACATTATGCCCAGCTTCAATTTTTGAAATACATGAATCACCGTATTTTATTGTTAATAGTGTAGTAAAGCATGGAAGGAAGTTGTCATACTGACAAGAAAAATTTATGAAAGTTACATGAAAATAGGTCTGTATATTTTAAGGAAATAATTAATCATAAATCAAATATGAGCCAATAACCACAAACCCATATATTAAAACATAATGCATCACTTCCAATTAGGTTCCTTTCCAAAATGTATTTTTCAAATTAATAAAATGTGATAATCTTGGTTTATGTTGAAAGCTTTTTGACATAATTTAATATCCATTTAAAATTAATTTCTGACTAAAATAACAAAAAATTATAGTAAATAAGAAATAAAAGGATACACACATATACATAATAAGGGAAAATAAGGATATACATTTTATTATATCTTTATATCTACTTTAAGCTACATGCCTATATTATTATTAATAAAGAATTATTAAAATTATTTCAGAGAGAAGAGGACCCTTCTACACTGTTGTTAGGATTGTAGATTGGTGCAGACATTAAGAAGAACATACAGGTTTCCAAAGAAATTACAAATAGAACTATCAAATGACTTAGCAATCCTGCTGCTGGGCACATACCCAAGGAAATGAAATCACCGTCTCATAAAGATATATGCACTCCCATGTTCATTTAGACTTTATTTACAATAGCCAAGATATCAAAACAAACTAAGTGTCTATTGACAGATGAATGGACAAAGAAAGTATGATGTGAAATAATATCATAGTGGAATAATATTTAGCCTTTAAAATGAAAGAAATTGTGCCATTTTGCCATAACACAGATGAAGCTGGAGGACATTAAACTAGGTAAAATAAGCCAGACATAGAAAAAAATGCATAATCTCACTTATATGTGGAGTGTATTAAAAAAGTTAGATATACAGAGATAGACAATAAAATAGTGGTTACCAGGCGTGGGGGGAGAGAGGAGGAAATGGGGAGATGTGGGTCAGAGGATACAAAGTAGAGTAGCAGATATGTAGGATGAAGAAATCTAGAGATCTATTATACAATATGAGAACTACAGGTCATACAATTCTACTGTATTTGGGATTCCTGCTAAATGAGTAGATTTTAGCTGCTCTTAAAAAAAAGAGACATATGTATTAACTTGCTTCACTATAGTAACCATTTCATTATCTGTATGTATCCCATAACATCATGTACTTTTTTTTTTATTACTATACTTTAACTTCGGGGGTACATGTGCAGAATGTGCAGGTTTGTTACATAGGTATGTATGCATGTGCCATGTTGCTTTGCTGCACCCATCAACTCATGATCTACATTAGGTGTTTCTCCCAATGCTATCCCTCCCACTGCACCCCACCCCCTGACAGGCCCCAGTGTGTGATGTTCCCCTCCCAATGTCCATGTGTTCTCATTGTTCAACTCCTACTTATGAATGAGAACATGAGGTGTTTGGTTTTCTGTTCCTATGTTAGTTTGCTGAGAATGACGGTTTCCAGCTTCATCCATGTCCCTGCGAAGGACATGAACTCATCCTTTCTTATGGCTGCATAGTATTCCGTGGTGTTTATGTGCCACGTTTTCTTTATCCAGTCTATCATTGATGGGCATTTGGGTTGGTTCCAAGTCTTTGCTATTGTGAACAGTGCTGCAATAAACATACATGTGCATGTGTCTTTATAGTAGAATGGTTTATATTCTTTTGGGTATATCCCAGTAATGGGATTGCTGAGTTAAATGGTATTTCTAGTTCTAGATGCTTGAGGAATTGCCACACTGTCTTCCACAATGGTTGAACTAATTTACACTTCCACCAACAGTGTAAAAGTGTTCCTATTTCTCCACATCCTCTCCAGCATCTGTTGTTTCCTGACTTTTTAATGATTGCCATTCTAACTGGTGAGAGATAGTATCTCATTGTGGTTTTGATTTGCATTTCTCTAATGACCAGTGCTGATGAGCATTTTTTCATATGTTTGCTGGCTGCATAAATGTCTTCTCTTGAGAAGCGTCTGTTCATATCCTTCACCCACTTTTTGATGGGGTTGTTTTTTTCTTGTAAATTTGTTTAAGTTCTTTGTAGATTCTGGATATTAGCCCTTTGTCATATAGATAGATTGCAAAAATTTTAAAAAGTCCTCTCAATTAAGAAAAGATAGGGATTCCAAAAGTCAACACTATTTCTTTGACATTGTGCTCCAAGTTAGTTTATATAATAAAATAAGAAAATAGATGAACAACAACTAGCTCATAAAACAGAAAAAGAGAGAATGAAAAGAAAGGAAAATAAAGTGTTGTCTCTATTTCTATGATTTTGCAAAGCCAAAAACATTAACTAATAAATGTATTAGAAAAGATAAATTGAAATGGTCACCTAATACATTTCTGTATCCAAACTGAAAATTAAAGGATCACATTTTAAACAGCAGCCAAAACTATACCTGTAAATAAACTTAAGTGGAAATGTGTGTCGAAGAGGAAAGCAAAAAAAGTCTTACCAATAAATATATAAATACTTACAAAAATGGATATACTTTCTATATTCTCATAGTGGAAAACTGAATAAAGATGTAAATTTTTCTCAAATTAGCTTATGCATAATGCAAATCCAATTATTATCCAAAGAGATTTTCAGAACTTTATTTGATTCTAAAAATTGAATAGAAGAGAAAAAGAACGGTTATATCCAAAATGTTCAAAATATGACACAATTATAAAGGGGGATTTGTGTGACTAGATATCAAATATAAAATGCATACCTATAATAATTTTAAAAAGGGATCAGTTATGTGAATAGATGATTCCTGGAAGAGTAAATTCAGACATGAACCTAAAAGTCATCTTCCGATGAGTGTTATTCTAACGATGCTATTTAATGTTGGGACTCATCTATGTCTTCTTTTTCATCATTTAATAAATTATTTAAGTTCCTTGTTTATGGTCTGTTTCCATCCATTACCACGTAAAGATCTACAAAATAGGGTTTTTGGTCTTTGTTCACTAATATACTTGAACAATACTTTGAGCATAACAAGTACCTAACAAAGATGTATTAAATTAATTATTACTTCAAACTTAGGGAAAAGGAGTAATTCATAAATAGTGCTGGCACATTTGATTGGCATTTGATGAGACATTGAAATATGCCAAAAAATCTAAAATATAAGTACAACCAGTTCACACTATACATAACACTATTAATGTACTAAATAATGGAATGGATCAAACTAAATATAAAAATATACTAAAAGAAAATTATTTTTAAAATATCCACAAAAGATTGAATTCCTATTATGTTTAAAAGTGCTCATTTAGAGAGCCCAGCTTAGAAACACAGTGATCCATGCCACCATTAGTAAAATTTCCAAGTTGTTGCAGAACTGTGACTCTGGTTACTAACATATTTTCCTTCTATTTTATGCTTTTTATTTAATATTTTTGCATTTTTATCATTAAACCTTGATGTTTTGCAAAAATTTATATGAATTACTAGACAAAATATATTTGATGAGAGGGAATAATACATGGCTTTTCATTACTGGCCATAACAGCGTAACTAGTACTGAAGTTAGCCCTATGCTTTTAATAAAAATAAAGCTAAATATATAATAATACAATTTTCAGACATTGGATAGCATACAGTATAGGACCATGATCCCTGACAAATGGGAACTGCAAGTGATGAGATCCACTGTTGATCTAGCTTTGTGACTGAGCACAATGTAGGCACTGTCTGGGCATATGTGTGGAAAGATAGGGTCAAAACTAAACTCAGAAGCATAGTGCTTTCACTGAACTTTGGAGGCAAACACTGGAGTTTGATGATACTTGGACTGCTGATATTTGTTAGGTAGGCTATTAAAGAAAAGTGAGCTGTGCAGGAATACATTTCCCCAAACCTGCGTAAGTACTCCATCAACTATCTGCCAGAATACAATGCAGAACATGGCTAGAGTGAAATTTTACAACACCTGGCACAGAACACCTGCTGGAAACCTGTGAACTGAATGGAGCCTGGAGATTTCACAGTAACAGGAGGCACACCTTTCTACAAAATAAGTGAATGTCAGAAAAAAACACAGTACTCATTAAAGAAAGAATACAAAATACAGACCTTCAGCTATGTAGAATCCACAATGTCCAGCAAACAATAAAGTATTACTAGTACTGAAAAAAAAAAAAACAAAAAACCAAAAAATGTTTCCTCCGACCAAGAAAACAGCACGTAATAGAAAGGACTTTGACAAACCCAGACATTGAAATTAGCAAACACAGGCAAACAACAACAACAAGAACAAAAATGTGTAAAAGTAACTGTTATAAAGTCACATCAAAGCCATAAGTCACATCTTTAAAAGAAAATGTAGTCATAATGAATAAATGGATAGGAAATTTTGTCAGAGAAGTGGAAGCTATTAAAGAAAACTAAATTGAAGTTTTTGACATGAAATTGAGTCTACTGAAAGGACTTAACAGTAACTTTAGAGTAGCAGAAAAAAGAGTTGGTAAATTTAAGAGGACAATAGAAATTATGCAATCTGAGGAACAGTTTGGGTAAACAAAAATAGAAAAAAAAAACCCAAAGTCTTAATGACCTGGGGCAATAACAAATAATCTAATATAAGGGGAATTAGAGTCCTAGAAAAAAAAACAGAAAAATGTTTGAAGAAATAATGGTACCATGTTTTCCAATTTGGCAAACAACAGCTTAGAGATCCAAAAGCTTCATCAACTTTAAACAGAATAATAAATAAGTAATATTAAAACTGATTAGAATGAAAGGTAAATTGAAGATCTTGGAAATATTCAGAGAAAATAACACACAACATAAAGGAAATAGCTATGCAAAAGGTATCAGGCTTCTCATCAAAGAAAATTAAAGGGAAAAAGAGGAGGGAACATTGTTCAACACATAACTGTCAACCCAAAATTCTATATGCAGTGAAAATGTTCAAAAGCAAAGGCAAAATAAATACATTTTTTATATAAACAAAAACTAAGAAAAAACATTGTCAACAGGTCTTTTTTAATAAGAAATGCTAAAGAAAGGTTCCTCAAGCTGAAGCAAATTGACAAAAGATGGAAACTCTAAAGAGTTGGTAAATCCCAAAAAAGTACACAAAGCACAAATAACAAAAATTATATATTCCCTTTTAAATTTTAAAAGTAAAATTTTGTTTTAAAAGCAAAATTATTATTATTTTTTAATTTTACTGTAAGTTCCAAGAAACATGTGCAGAATGTGCTGGTTTGTTACATAGATATTCATGTGCCATGGTGGTTTGCTGCACCTATCAACCTGTCATCTAGGTTTTCAGCCCTGCATGCATTAGCTATTTGTCTTAATGCTCTCCCTCCTCCAGCCTCCCACCCCGCCCCCCAACAGGCCCTCCCTGCTATGTGTTGTTTCCTTCCCTGTGTCCATGTGTTCTCATTGTTCAACTCCTACTTAAGAGTGAGAATACACGGTGTTTGGTTTTCTGTTCCTGTGTTAGTTTGCTGAGGATGATGGCTTCCAGCTTCATCCATGTCCTACAAAGGACATGATCTCATTCCTTTTTATGGCTGCATAGTTTTCCATGGTGTATATGTGCCACATTTTCTTTATTCAGTCTATCATTGTTTGGCATTTGGGTTGGTTCCATGTCTTTGCTATTGTAAATAGTGCTGCAGTAAATATACATATGCATGTGTCTTTATAGTAGAATTATTTATATTCTTTTGGGTATATACCCAGTAATGGGATTCCTGATGGTATTTCTGGTTCTAGATCCTTGAGGAATCGCCACAGTGTCTTCCACAATGGTTGAAATAATTTACATTCCCAGCAACAGTATACAAGTGTTCCTATTGCTCCACAGCCTCACCAGCATCTATTGTTTTTTTGACTTCTTAATAATCTCCATTCTGACTGGCATGAGATGGTATCTCATTGTGGTGGTTTTGATTTGCATTTCTCTAATGATGATTGGTGTTGAGCTTTTTTTCATATGTTTGTTGTCTGCATAAGCGTCTTCTTTTGAGAAGTGTCTGCTCATATACTTTACCCACTTTTTGATGGAGTTGTTTGGCTTTTCGTGTAAATTTGTTTAAGTTCCTTGTAGATCCTGAACATAAGACCTTTGTCAGATGGGTAGATTGCAAAACTTTCTCCCATTCTGTAGTTTGCCTGTTCACTCTGATGATAGTTTCTTTTGCTGAGCAGAAGCTCTTTAGTTCAACTGGATCCCATGTGTCAGTTTTGGCTTTTGTTGCCATTGCTTTTGGCGTTTTAGTCATGAAATCTTTGCCCATGCCTATGCCCTAAATTGCATTACCTATTTTTTCTTCTAGGGTTTTTATGGTTTGGGGTTTTGCATTTAAGTCTTTAATCCATCTTGAGATAATTTTTGTATAAAGTGTAAGGAAGGGGTCCAGTTTGAGTTTTATGCATATGGCTAACCAGTTTTCCCAGCACCATTTATTAAATAGAAAATCCTTTCCCCATTGCTTGTTTTTTTCAGGTTTGTTGAAGAGCAGACGGTTGTAGATGTGTGGTGTTATTTCTGAGGTCTCTGTTCTTTTCCATTGGTCTATATGTCTGTTTTGGTACCATTAGCATGCTGATTCTGTTATTATAGCTTTGTAGTATAGTTTGAAATTGAGTAGCGTGATGCCTCCAGCTTTGTTCTTTTTGCTTAGGATTGTCTTGGCTATACAGGCTGTTTTTTGGTTACATATAAAATTTAAAGTAGTTTTTCTTTTCTAATTCTGTGAAGAATTTCAATGGTAGTTTGATGGGAAGAGCATAGGATCTATGAATTACTTTCGGCAGTATGGCAATTTTTATGATATTGATTCTTTCTGTCCATAAGGATTTGGACCTCATGGATTTGGATTCTGTCCATTGGTTTGTGTCCTTTCTTATTTCCCTGAGCAGTGGTTTGTAGTTTTCCTTGAAGAGGTCCTTCATGTCCCTTGTTGGGTGTATTCCTAGGTATTTTATTCTCTTTGTAGCAATTGTGAAGGGGAGTTCATGATTTGGCTCTCTGCTTGTCTATTGTTGGTATATAGGAATGCTTGTGATTTTTTGCACATTGTATCCTGAGACTTTGCTGAAGTTGCTTATCAGCTTAAGGAGTTTTTAAGCTGAGATGATGGGGTTTTCTAAATATACAATCATGCCATCTGCAAAGAGAGACAATTTGACTTCCTGTCTTCCTATTCGAATATGCTTTATTTCTTTCTCTTGCCTGGATTGCCCTGGCCCGAACTTCCAATATTATGTTGAACAGGAGTGCTGAGAGAGGTCATTCTTGTCTTGTGCCAGTTTTCAAAGGAAATGTTTATAGCATTTGCCCATTCACTATGATATTGGCTGTGGGTTTGTCATAAATAGCTCTTATTATTTTGAGATATGTTCCATCAGCACCTACTTCATTGAGAGCTTTTAACATAAAGCAATGTTTAATTTTATTGAAGGCCTTTTCCGCATCTATTGAGATAATCTTTTGGTTTTTGTCATTCGTTCGGTTTATGTGAGAGACTACGTTTATTGATTTGCCTATGTTGGACCAACCTTGCATTTTACAGATCGATCCGACTTGATTGTGTAAATAAGCTTTTTGATGTGCTGCTGGTTTCAGTTTGCCAGTATTTTATTGAGGATTTTTACATCAATGTTCATCAGGGATATTGGCCTGAAGTTTTCTTTTTTTGTTGTGTCTCTGCCAGGTTTTGGTATCAGAATGATTCTGGTCCTATGAAATCAGAAGGGAGGGCATAATCCCTCCTTTTCAAATTTTTGGAATAATTTCATAAGGAATGGCATCAGCTCCTCCTTGTACCTCTGGTAGAATTCAGCTGTGAATCTTTCTGGTCCTAGGCTTTATTTGGTTGGTAGGTTAATTACTGCTTCAATTTCAGAACTTGATAT
Organism: Homo sapiens; assembly: GCF_000001405.40. NCBI lineage: Eukaryota > Metazoa > Chordata > Mammalia > Primates > Hominidae > Homo > Homo sapiens. The sequence goes on from NC_000006.12 coordinate 98,154,155, forward strand.
TGGTCTATTCAGGGATTTGATTTCTTTCTAGTTTAGTCTTCAGAGGGTGTGTGTGTCCAGGAATTTATCCATTTCTTCTAGATTTTCTAGATTATTTGTGTAGAGTTGTTTACAGTATTGACTGCTGGTAGTTTGTATTTCTGTGGGGTCAATGGTGATATCCCCCTTATCATTTTTTATTGTGTCTATTTGATTCTTCTTTCTTTTCTTCTTTATTAGTCTAGCTAGTGGCCAATTTTGTTAGTTTTTCATAAAACCAGCTCCTGGATTCATGGATTTTTTGGAGGGTTTTTCATGTCTCTATCTCCCTTAGTTCTGCTCTGATCTTAGCTATTTCTCGTCTTCTGCTAGCTTTTGGATTTGTTTGCTCTTGCATCTCTACTTCTTTTAATGTGATATTAAGGTGTCAATTTGAGATCTTTCTAATTTTCTTTTGTGGGCATTTAGTGCTGTAAATTTCCCTCTTAACACTGCTTTAGCTGTGTCCCAGAGATTCTGGTGTGTTGTCCTTTGTTCTCATTGGTTTCAAAGAACTTCTTGATTTCTGCCTTAATTTCATTATTTATCTAGGAGTCATTCAGGGGCAGGTTGTTCAATTTCCATGTAGTTGTGTGGTTTTTACTGAGTTTCTTAACCCTGAGTTCTAATTTGATTGCACTGTGGTCTGAGTGACTGTTATGATTTCTGTTCTTTTGCATTTGCTGAGGAGTGTTTTACTTCCAATTATGTGGTCAATTTTAGTATAGTGCCATGTGGCACTGAGAAGAATGTATATTCTACTGATTTGGGCTGGAGAGTTCTGTAGGTGTCTATTAGGTCCACTTGATCCAGAGCTGAGTTCAAGTCCTGAATATCTTTGTTAATTTTCTGTCTTGTTGATCTGTTTAATATTGACAGTGGGGTGTTGTGTGGGACTCTACGTCTCTTTGTAGGTCTCCAAGAACTTGTTTTATGAATCCGGGTGCTCCTATATTGGGTGCATGTATATTTAGAATAGTTAGCTCTTCTTGTTGCATTGATACCTTTACCATTATGTAATGCCTTTCTTTGTCTTTTTTATCTTTGATGCTTTAAAGTTTCTTTTGTCAGAGACTAGGATTGCAACTCCTGCTTTTTTCTGCTTTCCATTTGCTTGGTAAATTTTCCTCCATCCCTTTATTTTAATCCCATGTGTGTCTTTGCATGTGAGATGGTTCTCCTGAATACAGCACACCGAAGGGTCTTGACTCTTTATCTAATTTGCCAGTCTGTGTCTTTTAATTGGGCATTTTGCCCATTTACATTTAAGGTTAATATCGTTATGTGTGAATTTGATCATGTCATCATGATGCTAGCTGGTTATTTTGCACAATAATTGATGCAATTTCTTCATAGTGTCATTGGTCTTTATATTGTGGTGTGTTTTTGCAGTGGCTGGTAGCAGTTTTTCCTTTCCATATTTAGTGCTTCCTTCAGGAGCTCTTGCAAGGCAGGCCTGGTGGTGATGAAATCCCTCAGCATTTGTTGTCTGGAAGAGATTTTATTTCTCCTTCGCTTATTCAGCTTAGTTTGGCTGGATATGAAACTCTGGGTTGAAAATTCTTTTCTTTAACAATGTAGAACATCTCTTTCAGGCATTCCAATCAATCGTAGGTTCAGTCTTTTTACATAGTCCCATATTTCCCAGAGGTTTTGTTTGCTTCTCTTCATTCTGTTTTCTCTAATCTTGTCTGCATGCCTTATTTCAGCAAGATGGTCTTCAATCTCTGATATACTTTTTTCTGCTTGATCGATTTGGCTATCATTACTTCTATATGCTTCACAAAGTTCTCGTGCTGTGTTTTTCAGCTCCACCAGGTCATTTATGTTCCTCTCTAAACTGGTTATTGTAGTTAGCAGCTCCAGTAACTTTTTCTCAAGGTTCTTAGCTTATTTGCATTGGGTTAGAACATGCTCCTTTAGCTCAGAGGAGATTGTTATTACCCACCTCCTGAAGCCTACTTCTGTCAATTTGTCCATCTCATCCTCCGTTCAGTTCTGTGCCCTTGCTGGAGAGGTGTTGCGATTATTTGAAGGAGAAGAGGCATTTTGGGTTTGGAATTTTCAGTGTTTTTGCGTTGGTTTTCCCCCATCTTCTTGGACTTATCTACTTTTGGTCTTTGAGGCTAATGAACTTTGGATGGGGTTTTTGTCGGCGGGGTCTTTTTTTTGTTCATGTTGTTTTTGTTGTTGCTTTCTGTTTGTTAGTTTTTCTTCCAACAGTAAGGCTCCTCTTCTGCAGGTCTGCTGCAGTTTTCTGGGGGTCCACTCCAGACTCTGTTCACCTGGATAACACCAGTGGAGGCTGCAGAACAGCAAAGATTGCTGCCTGCTCCTTCCTCTGGAAGCTTTGTCCCAGAGGGACAGCGTCATGATGCCAGCCGGATCTTTCCTGTATGAGGTGTCTGTCAACCCCTGTTGGGAGGTCTCTCCCAGTCAGGAGGCATGGGGTCAGGGACCTGCTTGAGGAGGCAATCTGTCCCTTAGCAGAGCTGGTGTGCTGTGCTGGGAGAATCCCCCTTGTCAGGATCAGCCACTCTCTTCAGACCCGGCAGGCAGGCAGGAAAGATTAAGTCCACTGAACCTGAGACCACAGCTGCCCCTCCCCACAGGTGTTCTGTCCCAGGGAGATGAGACTGCTGTCTGTAAGCCCCTGACTGGAGTTGCTGCCCTTCCTGGAGAGTAGGGGTCTAGAGAACCAGTCTGGCCACAACTGCTTTTCTGCACTGTGGTGAATTCTGCCCAGTCCAAACCTCCCAGTCTTATTAGCACTGTCATAGGAAAACCGCCTACTAAAGCCACAGTAATGGTGGTCATGCCCCCCACCCCCACCACAACCTCAGTCATCCCAGGCAGACTCCAGACTGCTGTGCTGGCAGTGGAAATTTCAAGCCGGTTGTTCTTGGCTTGCTGGGCTCTGTGAGAATGGAACCCACTGAGCGAGACTGCTTGACTCCCTGGCTTCAGCCCCCTTTCCAGGGGAGTAAACAGTTCTCCTATCTCCCTGGAGTTCCAGGCCCTGCTGAAGTATGAAAAAACTCCTGCAGCTCAGTGTCTTCCCAGACTGGCAGGTTTCAAGCTGCCCAGTTTTGTGCTTGAAACCTGTGACCCTGGTGGTGTAGGCTCAATAGGGAATATCCTGATCCGCGCATTGGAAAAATCCCTAGGAAAAGTGTAGTATTCCTGGTGGGTAGAACAGTCCCTCACCACTTTCCTTGGCTGGGGGAGAAAGGTGCCCTGCTCCATACACTTCCTGCATGAAGCGATACCCTACTCTGCTTCTGTTCACTCTCTGTGGGTTGTGCCCACTGCCTGGCCAGTCCCAGTGAGATGAACTGGGTACCTCAGTTGGAAATGCAGAAATCACCCACCTTATTCCTATTCGGCCATCTTGGCCCCTCCACAGAATTATGTTTAAAATGAAATGGAATATTTTATTGTGAACTTAATAATGTATGTAGAGATATATAAGAAAAATAATACAAAGAAAACAAGAATAAAGTAAACCCTATTGTTCGAAGGCTCATATATTTTGTATAAAGTGGTTGAATATTTACCCTAAATATATTTTGACTTATACATATTATAATCCCTATAGTAATAACTTAAAAAAGATAGTGCTAAGTGTTATAGCCACAAAATCAATAGAGGAAATATAATACAAAGTATTTAAAACAAGAAGCAAAACAAAGAAGGAAAAGGATAAAGAATTAAAAATATATAATTGGGAAAATGAAAAATGCATAACAAAATGATAGGCATAAGTTAAATAATATTAAATTAAAAGGCAGAAATTATAAGACTATGAAAAAGCATGACTCAACTCTATATTATTGGTTAAAGAAGTGAATTTAAAAGTATAAGGCACAGATAGGCTGAAAGCAAAGAACAACAATAGAACAACAGGTGTATCACACAAACTGTAAACATAAGAAATTTGGAACGTTAAATACTAATATCAGAGAAAATATACTTTAAAATAAGGCTTACTACAAAGGTATGGAGGTTAGATTAAAAGGGCCAATTCATCAAGAACACATAGCAATCATAAGTGATGTGCTTAAGAACAGAGCTGCAAAATACGTAAAAGAAAATCTGGCAGAACTAAAGGGAGAAAGGCAAATCAAAAGACACAGCTGAAAATTTTAATACCCCTCCCTCAGTAATCGAAAAACAACAAAAAAACAACTAGACCGACCGGTGGCTCATGCCTGTAATCCCAGCACTTTTGGAGGCCGAGGTGGGCAGATCACGAGGTCAGGAGATTGAGACCATCCTGGCTAACATGGTGAAACCCCATCTCTACTGAAAATACAAAAAATTAGCCAGGCGTGGTGGCGGGCCCCTGTGGTCCCAGTTACCCAGGAGGCTGAGGCAGGAGAATGGTGTGAACCCGGGAGGCAGAGCTTGCAGTGAGCCAAGATTGTGCCACTGTTCTCCAGCCTGGGCAACAGAGCGAGACTCTGTCTCAAAAAAAAAAAAAATGTCATAGAGAAAATCTGAAAAGTACTATCTACCTTCCTGACCTAATTGGTTTTACAAAATACTCACACAACAGCTACAGAATATACATAGTTTTAAGTGCTTATGAACAGTTTACCTAGTTAGACTCTATGCTGGTACAGAGTATACTACCTGATCATAACAAATTTAAATACAAAAATCAATAATAAGAAATATGTAGAAATCCACAAATACTTGGATACGAAAGAACCCACTTCTTAATATTCCATAGGTGAAAGATAAACAACAAAGGAAATTATATTTCAACATGAATGATAATAAAATATGGTATATCAAATACAATACATCAACTGTCATGTTGATATATTGTATCAAATATGTTATATCAACTGTTGGGGAAGTACCTAAAGCAATGCTTAAAAATAAAGTTAATGGCTTTTATGTGAAGAGATTAAGTGTTTAAAATAAATGACCTAAGTTTTTATCGTCATTTTAAAGAAAGGTGAACAAATTAGATCCAAAATATATAGAATGAAGAAAATAATAACAAGCAGAAATAAAGTTACCAAAACCAAAATTGGTTCTTTAAAAAGACATAAAATTGATGAAATATTGATAAAAGACTGATAAAAAATTATAGAAAAACCCAAATTACTAATGTAATGTAAAAAACAGGATTTTACTACAGATTTTACAGACAGTAATAGCATAATATGGGAATATTATGAATGGCTTTATTGAATATACTTGACACCTGGAATGAAATGCATGCGTTCCTGAGAAAACACAATTTTCAAAAACTAACAAGATGAAATAGAAAATCTGAATAGCCCACTTACTTAGCAAAAAGTAGAATATATTATTTTAAAAATATATAAAATAAACCTTTTTCATAAAACAACTCAAGGCCTGGATGTTTCTACTACTTAATTTAAATTCTGCAAAGAAATTTAGAAATACAAAGCTTACACATTTTTTTGAAAATAGATATAGAACACCTCCAAACTTATTTTATGAGGCCAGAATTACCCAAAACATGACCAAAAACTTACCAAAAAATCAAAGACTAATATTCCTCACAAATAAAGACGTAAAAATTCCTAACAAAATGTTAGCAAAATGAAGCCAGTAACATATAAAAAGGATCATACTGAGAAAATGGGGTTTCTTAAAGTCATGGAAAGATATTTTAACATTTGAAAATCAATTATTGTAATTTACTATATAAACAGACTGAAACAGAAATAACTTGGAATCCTCTGAATAGATAAAGAGAATGTATTTTCTCAATATTATAAAAAGCATACCTAAAACATCTATAGCTAATATCATGCATAATATGATATTGAGTGATTTGCTATAAAAATTAGTAATAAGGTAAAGATGTCTGCTTTTACCACTACTATTTCACATCATGCCAAAAAGGCAAGAAAAAAAATACACATAAAGTTTGGAAAGAAAAAATTAAATCTGTCTCTACTTGCAGATAACATAATTGTTTACGTAGAAAATCACAAGGAATTTTTAAACAACTGCTAGAACCAGTAGGTGTATTTAGCAGAATTTCAGAGTACAGGATTAATATATTAACAGCATACAACTAGAAAATGAATTCAAAAATCAATCCTGTATAAAATCATGTTTTGAAACATGAAACCCCTAGTAACAAATCTAACAAAGTACTGTTCAGCCTCTACACTGAAAACTTCAAAATATTGCTCAGAGAAATTAACAAAAGTCTTAATCAATGGAGAGATACAACATGTTTGTGGATTAGAGGGTTCAAAATTAAGTGTTTATTCTGCACTCTTCTTCAATTGATATATAGATTGAGCGCCATCTCAATGCAAGCAACAACAGGTTTTCCTTGTAGAAATATAAAAGCTGATTCAAAATGTATTTGGAAATGCAAAATACCTAGCATAGCCAAAAATTCTTGGGAAAAGAAAAGGTGGAGGACTTACACACAATCCAATTTCAAAATGTACTATAAATCTACCGTAATTAAGACAGCTTGACTTTTCTTTAATGGTAGATAATTGCATCAATAGAATAAACTAGAGACTTCCAAAATAGACCCACACTTATATAGCACAATTGAATTTCCACAAAGGCATCAAAGCAAATCATTGGATAAAGTTTTTTTTCAACAAATGAATCTAGATCAACTGAATATCCATACGGAAAAACATGAAGCTCAAACTTCACCCAACACCAAACGTAAAAATTAATTTGAGAGATATCATAACCTAAATTCTAAAGTTAAAGTCATAATGGTTCTTAAGGCAAACAAAAGAGATTATCTTGGCAAAGTGTGGAAGGGAAAAAATTCCTAGGGCACAGTAAACAATTACTATATGAAAATAAAATGTATAAAAACAACTAATACTTTGGGGAAATACAAATTACAGCTATTATGAAATGCTACTATACAGCCACTCAAATTACTGAAATTTTTAAAATGAAAATACCAAATGTCACTGAGGATTTGAAGCAAATGGAATACTCACACATTGCTGCTAAAAGCACAAATGGTACAGCCAGTTAGGGGAAAATTATAGCAGTTTCTTACAAAGTTAAACTTACACCTACCATATGACCCAGTAACTTCACTCTTAGGTATTTTCCAAGAGAACTCGAAACAGATGTCTACAAAAGACTTTCCAAAGAATGATTTTGGCATTTTTATTCATAAAAGCCAAATGCTGTAAACAACCCAAATGTCCATTAAAAGGAGAATGAATTAATGAGTTGTACATTACACAAAAGAATACTGATCAGCAATAAAATGGAACAAACTCCTAATACCATCAGACTACATGGACAAATTTTAGCAACATTATACTGAGTAAAAGAAGTCAAACACCAAATAATACATACTGTATTACTTCACTATTCTATGTGACATAAATATTCAAATTTTGATAAGAATATGAGTTCTATGAATACATCTACTTTTGAAATTCATAGAATTTTATACTTATGATTGTTAATTTTACTGTATACAAATTTTTCCTATGAATTAAAATAAATATTAAACCCTTGTGAATAGTAAACTTGCTTTTCACAGTGGTATGGATTAACAATTCTGAAGTTTCCTTCTATGTGTTCTGAGTATTAGTAAATAAGTAAATATATTCAGCATAATGGAAGGCAGGCTTTTCTGTTGAGGAACCAATTTACAAATAGAGAAAGAAGGAAGACTAGAATGTACCCTGTGGCATTATATTTTAATTGAAAGTATTAATATAAACTAATTTCATATATATTTAAGATAGATGATACACATATATTCATATATACCCACATTATATATTTTATATTACATATATATCTGTATATGTGCCATAAACACATTCACACTTACGTGAATTTCCTAGCTCTGTCAATGCATAGATTTTGTTTTCTAAATACTGTTTTCCAGTGAAATAAACCAGGATACTTGGAAAAATGGTTGACTCTTAATGCTTTGGTGGAAAAAATACAAGATGAGTACACAACATCTTCTTGCAACACCAATTAACTGCTAAAAGAACATTGGGGACTTGTCAGAAGGACACAGGAGCTAACTTGAAGGGGCTCATGCTTCATCAAATATGAAATAATCTGAATATGATAACAGTGATAGTAAATAAATAGTGATACTAATATATTATAAATTTTGGTTGAACAAAATAAAGATACATGAGTCCATATGATGCATAAATAAATAAGTAAATAAATAGATAAATAAGAAGAGTTATTCCTTACAGTGGAACTCCAACTAACGAGTGGAGAGACATGGTAGAGTTGGAAATCATCAACTTGCGCTAGAATCAGTGGGTATAAATTTTGATAAGGAACAGAATGTAGGCATAATGTATCTCACTACAAATTATACTCAAATTATGTCCACATAAATTACATAGTTATTTCCATTAAGAAAACAGTAACTTTATAGTGGACAAAAATGGATTCAGCATATGCTAAATGGTCAAAGTTAGCATTATTAATGTTTTATCTTGTGCCTCTTATGATTTTCTGTATGTCTGGAGCAATATTAAAAACTTGGAAGTAAAGTAATACATAGTCCTTCCTTTAAAAATTCACAAATACTTTTAATATCTTGTTAAAGTATAACCTTGCCTTTTGCAAACACTATTCAGAAAGGGATCTCAGTGACTACCCACAAGTGAACTAATAATTGTATGTAATTTCAAAATTGACATTTTTTAACGCTGCACAATATATGCACATTATTTTCTAAATTACATTTTTATTTTACTCAAAAAATTGTATTAAAAAGGAAATTCTTCCAAAACTTGGATTTTGCTTCCCCTGTATTTGTCTGTAATCAAATGTCTCATGGATACTGGTTCAATTTTATATTGAAAGTTTAGAAACTGCAATTTAACACCTGTTAGATTTCCTATTTTTATATGATTTTCAAATTCAGATTATTCTATTCTACTACTTTTTAACTTATCCCTTTACTTTGTTAATTTATAACTTTGCTATTCTATTGCTTCTATCCAAATACAATATGCTAATTAGTAATAAAATGTGTTGTGCTTCAACAATGCTTCAAAAATCATGAGGTCAGAGTAGAACACATGGGTTGAACAACTTTAGATTCAAGAGAATATTAAAATGAACTATTCTTATTATTTCATAATTCTTGTTCCTAGACCATAACTTCTCTCATTCAATTGATTTAAACTAAATAATGTATTTTTATTAAGTATAATCATTCATGAAATAAAAACAATGTTGTGCTTATTCCATTGAAGTTTAATATGACATGTTATATGAGTCAGGAGAGACTATTCATGAACAATATTAGTAATGACTTCCAAAATAGAAGTTAGTGGGCTTAAACACATTTATATCTTTTAAAGGAAAACCTAGATCATTACTCTGTTAAGTGAATTAGTGATATTCTAAAACAATCATTTGTTATTCCATTATCTTATTTTTCCATAGTATCAATAAGTAGTCATTATATACATGAAACTAATCTTTTTATTTGAGACGAGTTCTCACTCTGTTGCCCAGTCTGGAGTGCAGTGGCTTGATCACACTTACCACAGCCTCAACCTCCTGGGCTCAAGTGATCCTCCCATCTCAGCCTCCCAGAGTAGCTGAGAGTACAGGCACATGCCACGTTTGTGTGTGTGTGTGTGTGTGTGTGTGTGTGTGTGACAGAGTTTCACTCTTGTTGCCCAGGCTGGAGTGCAATGGTGCAAACTCAGCTCACTGCAGCCTCTGCAACCCAGGTTCAAATGATTCTCCTGCCTCAGCCCCCTGAGTAGCTAGGATTACAGGTACCTGCCACCATGCTCAGCTAATTTTTTGCATTTTTAGTAGGGATGGGATTTCGCCATGGTGGCCCTGCTGGTCTCGAACTCCTGACCTCAGGTGATCCGCCCATCTCAGCCTCTGAAAGTACTGGAATTACAGGTGTGAGCCACTGTGCCCATCCAGAAATTATTTCTAATTATTGAAAAATTAAAATTATCTGTGTCACAGGCACTACTCACAAATAGCTATCAAGGGTAGTATACAAAATATATGATACAGATATATAGATAATTAGCTCTGCTCCCTATCATACCTGAGTGTGAAAAGTCATAAAAATAGATTAAATATTTTTATTGATTGTATGTGTTATCAGGATATATATTTGCACTCTGATTTCTATACCTAACTCCGTTAAATGCTAATGATATGCTTTTGATAGGCTTTCCTTTTTAGATTCCAATTTTCTACTGTTTCTGTAAGAAAGTAATGATACTTAAATCCTCATCTCTCACAAATAATGTTTCTGATGATCAGGTTGACCTTCTTAGCTTAATTAATTCAAGAACTAAGCTGCCCACATTTTTAAGCTATCCTCAATTATACAGGATATAACTACTGTGTTGAGTTTTGTTTTACTTTTTATTTAAATTATATTTTATTTGAAAGGAAAAATGGTGAGTATTTTCCACAGGAAATAGATACTAGATATTAGCAATTTATGCCCATATTTTAAAGATGTATTAATGATATACCTGTAAACATAATTTATATTATTAATATATTACCTTATTTCATATTTTCATATTTATGCTAACTTCATTATTTTACCTGTGTATGGTGAAACTTAAGAACTAGACTCTTTTTAAGACAGAACCAACATTTTCCCCATCTTTTCCCCATTCCTTATGGTTGCTAGTACACTGCACTATCCACCAACTCATTTCTTGTCAATAGGAAGTTACTGCTTTATCCAATCTATTTGATAGAGAGTTAGGATGCGAAAGTATATCACTATTAATGCTCAGAAGAGGGTAGGTTTTGAAAGCAATGTATAAGAATTAATCAAAATGATTTAGTGAAAAATGTGTATTTGGAATATGTCCTCATTTAGTCAAATAGCCTTACTTCCACTGTCTTTCATCCAATCAAATATGTAGTGCTTGGGAGCAAACAATGGATGTACATATTTGTTGGAAAACAGATGCTATGTTTCCATTTGGTAATATGTCTATAACAGAGCTTTTAATGTAATTGCACAGAATCTCTTGTTAGTTGTTGTAAAGTAATAGTAGTAAAGAAGAGGATAACGACTATTAATTGAGCACTTTTGCTCCAGTATACATGTGCTAAGTACTTGCCAAGTACCATAAAGTTTATATTAGGAATATAGTGTTTGATTTCTATGCTCAAATTTGAAGAAGGGATGCTTTTCAAGCCAACTTTTGTGTAATGATGGCCAACATTTATAACTTACTAAATAAAAAGTAGATACTATTAGTAACTTCATTTTGCAAATGAAAAAACTAAATCACAGAGTACTTATGCATAAAAAGTGGAGGCAGAAACCTGTCTCCAGAACTCATGCGCTTAACTTCTACATACTATTATTCTATAAAACTAGATGGAAGAATGGATGAATGGAGAGACAGTCATGCTTATGCAATGAGAGGCATACATGATCTCTTTGGGCCATCTCACACATGTCAATTAAGTTCAGTAAGCATTTACTTACTTATTTACTTACCTACTATGTATCAAGGAATGTCACAAAAGATAACAACAGAAGAATGTCTTTGAAGGCCACCAAGCGTACTTAAATTTAAATCAATAAATATCTAATAAAGGCTTACTACAAACCAAAGGATATCTTCATCCCAGTTGATAAAAAGATCTTTGCCTAGTAGAGGAGCTTATAATATAGTTGGAGATTAACAAATAAATGTCATGTAGGTAGAGTAAAACAAGATATGTGTAATCAGGACAAGCTGCTATTAGGCAATAATACTAATGCTGAATCTTGAAGAATAGATTGAAATTTTGAACGGACATGGTGGTGAGGGAATACCAGATATCAGAATCAGCACCCAAAAAGGCAGATAAAGATCACTTAACATAGTATATTCAAAGAATACAGACAATATATTATGGGCAGAGTATCAGGTCTTGGATATGATAGAGTGAGTGACTATCAAATGAATTTGGAGACCAGGGTGGAAGCCAGAAATAACTGCTACAAATGAGCCATGCTATCATTGGTTAGTTTTGCTTAAAAACAATATTATGTTCTAAAAGCATTAGCTGACAACTATGTGATCAGCAGATCAGCAGAGATAACAAGGATTAACCAGCTGGACATACCCATCTAAATATTAAATGTTCAACTCAATGTGCATGCCCTCCTCATTAGCTTTGGAAATGTCAAACAATTCTTTAACAAACTGGGAGGAAAGGTCACAATCACATCCCATCTGGAAATGAGCCCCAGTGCCTCTATTCTTCTAGTTGTCATCCAATAGGACATCCAATAGTCAAACCTAAGGTACTAACAACTTATTTTATCTAACTCCAGTCATGTGTCTACATGAGCCCATAGTTTCAAGATAGTATTTCCTTTGGGTTTAGTTTTGTTGGTGTAGTTTATTTGTCTGTTTTTTGATCTCACTATTGGTATTACTTTTGGGGCTTGCAGATGTGACCCTGTGATCGTTAATACTGAGTGTCAACTTGATTGAATTGAAGGATATGAAGTATTGATCCTGGGTGTGTCTGTGGGTGTGCCAAAGGAGATTAACATTTGAGTCAGGGGGCTGAAAAAGGCAGACCCACCCTTAATCTGGGTAGGCACCATCTAATCAGCTGCCAGTGTGGCTAGAATATAAAGCAGGCAAAAGAACATGAAAAGACTAGACTGGCCTAGCCTCCCAGCCTACATCTTTCTCCTGTGCTGGATGCTTCCTGCCCCTGAACATTAGACTCTAAGTTCTTCAGTTTTGGGACTCAGGCTGGTTTTCCTTGTTCCTCGGGTTGCAGACGGCCTATTGTGGGACCTTGTGATCCTGTGAGTTAATACTTAATAAACTCCCATATATATGTATTGTGTCCCTATTACTTCTGTCCCTCTAGAGAATCCTGACTAATACAGATTTTGGTACCAGGAGTGGTTCTAGAGGAACTGAATAGTAAAAATTGAGTTCTTTCTTTGGTTTTGGGGTTTCTGGAGTTGGCTTCTTAATATGATTAGACATCAAAATGCTAAGGACTCTACTTCTAATGGTATGGAGAACACTGATAGTCCTTGGCATGAACTGTTTAGAGAGTTATGAAATGTAAATGCACTTGACACTCCTCATTCACCACTCGTAAGAGGCAAGGAGTTTAGTGACTCTATACATAATGCCTTTGACCATATGTGGAGAACCAAGGAACATAACGAAGCTGGTTGGTTGCTCCTAAGTTCACCGAACAAAGTGATGAAAGAAAATGATGAACTCAGGGATTCTAACTCCTGGCTTCAGAAGCAGGTACTGAGCCTAAATCTGCTAAGATTGCCCTGAGTGAGTCTTATCTCCTGTAGAGAAAGAGCTGAAATTGTGGACAAACAGACACAAGCTCTTATCATGTGAGTGGCTGACCTGCAATGCAAGGTGCATGCACAGCTTTGGCAGGTGTCTACTGTTAGAGTGAGGGCATTGATTGGAAAAGAATGGGACCCTGCAACTTGGAATGGGGATGTGTGGGGGAACTCTGCTGAAGCATGCGACACTGAGTTTGTAAACTCTGATGAACCTTTTTTGCCAGAAAAGACAGCTTCCCCATCCCCAGTAGTGGCAACATCCCCTCCATGAACTATGCTGCTATCAGCCTTTCAACCTTTCTTTGAGGAGATTAACCCTGAACTGCGTGAGGCAAGAGTGATGGCCTCCCCTGAGGCAGTTGCCAGACAAGATAATGTTGACTCTCCTCAGGACCCACCCCCAACACCCCATTTGCTTCTAGAGCTATAACTAGACTAAAGTCCTCGTTGGCCCCTAGATGTGAGGTTGAGAGTGTGACCCATGAGGAGGTGCCCTACACTCAAAAATAACTGCTTGAGTTTTCTAATTTATATAAACGGAAATCTGGAGAACAGGCATGGAAATGGATATTAAGGGTGTGGAAGGAACATAAAGTTGGATGAGGCTGAATTTATTGATTTGGGCCCAATAAGTAGGGACTCTGTATTTAATGTTGCAGCTTGGGGAGTTAAAAAAGGTTGTAATAGTTTATTTGCTTGGTTAGTGGAAATATGGATTAAAAGATGGCCCACTGTGAGTGAGGTGGAAATGCCTGATATCCCCTGGTTTAATGTAGAGGAAGGGATCAAAAGGCTTAGGGAGAATGGGATGGTGGAGTGGATTAGTCACTTTAGACCTACTCATCCTAGCTGGGAGGGTCCAGAAGATATACCCTTGACCAATGCCTTATGAAATAGATTTGTGAGAGTGAAATAGTTGCAGCACCTGCATCTTTGAATAGCCCTGTAATTTCTCTTCTCTGTATGCCAGATCTAACAGTGGGAACCACAGTCACTCAACTACAAAATTTAAATACAATGGGAATAATTGGATTCTGAGGTGGCAAGGGCCAAGTGGTAGCAATCAACCATCAAAGGCAAGGTGGGCGTAGCTACCATAATGGACAGCAGAGGCAAAGGGGCAATCAGAATAGTCTGACTCATGTAGAGCTCTGGCATTGGCTAATGAATCACAGTGTTTCTAGAAATGAAATTGGTAGTAAGCCTACTGCATTCCTACTTAATTTATATAAACTGAAAACTTCCAGGTCGAGTGGATGAAAGACTAATTTGAATTATCAAAACAAAGAATCATGGCCCTGTAATCAATTTCCAGACTTGAGCCAGCTTATAGACCCAGATCCCCTTAAATGAAGGGGTGGCTGGGTACCCTTGAGGAAAGACCCCATTACACTACCAACAATTTATGCAGTGAATCTTTCTCTCATCCTTTCCCAAGGAGACCTCTGGCCTTTCACCAGGGTAACTTTATTGGGTAAAGGGAAGTGATCAGATATTTTGGATACTGGCTCTGAACTGACATTGGTTCCTGCGACCCAAAATGTCATTGTGGTCCTCCAGTTAACCTAGGGACTTATGGAGGTCAGGCAATTAATGGAGTTTTAGCTCAGGTCCAGCTTTCAGTGGGTCCACTGGGTCCCCGGACTCATCCTGTGGTCATTTCCCCAGTGCCAGAATGCATAATTGACATAGACATACTTAACAGCTGGCAGAACCCCCATATTGGTTCCCTGACTGGTAGAGTGAGGGCTATTATGGTAAGAAAGGCCAAATGGAAACCATTAGAGCTGCCTCTATCTAGAAAAATAGTAAATCAAAAACAATATTGCATCCCTGGAGGGATTGCAGAGATTAGTGCCACGATTGAAAGATGCAGGGGTGGTGATTCCCACCACATCCTTGCTCAACTTTCCTATTTGGCCTGTGCAGAAGACAGATGGATCTTCGGGAATGACAGTGGATTATTGTAAGCTTAACCAAGTGATGACTCGAATTGCAACTGCTGTACCAGATGTGTTTTCATTACTTAAGCAAATTAACACATCTCCTGGTACCTGGTATGCAGCCATTGACTTGGCAAGTGGCTTTTTCTCCATTCCTGTCCATAAGGCCCACCAGAAGCAATTTGTCTTCAGCTGACAAGGCCATCAATATGCCTTTACTGTCCTATCTCAGGAGTATATCTACTCTCTGGCTTTGTGTCATGATCTTATTCGGAAAGAACTTGATTGTTTTTTGCTTCTGCAAGATACCACACTGTTCCATTACGTTGATGACATTATGCTTATTGGATCCAGTGAGCAAGAAGTAGCAAACACACTGGATTTATTGGGGAGATGTTTGCATGCCAGAGGATGGGAAATAAATCCTACTAAAATTTAGGGACCTTCTACCTCAGTAAAATGTCTAGGGGTCCAATGGTGTGGGGCATGTCAAGATATTCCTTCTAAGGTAAAGGATAATTTGCTGTATTTTTCCCCTCCTACAACCAAGAGAGGGGCACAATGCCTAGTGGGGCTATTTTGATTTTGGAGGCAACACATTCCTCACTTCAGTGTGTTACTCGTGCCCGTTTATTGAGTGACCCAAAACACTGCCAGCTTTGAGTGGGGTCCAGGATAGGAGAAGGCTCTGCAACAGGTCCAGGCTGCTGTGCAGCTGCTCTGCCATTTGGGCCACATGACCCAGCAGATCCAATGGTGCTTCAGGTGTCGTTGGCTAATGGATATGCTGTTTGGAGCCTCTGGCAGGCCCCCATAGGTGAATCACAGTGGAGGCCTCTAGGATTTTGGAGCAAAGCCCTGCCATCTTCTGCAGATAACTACTCTCCTTTTGAGAGATAGCTGTTGGCCTATTACTGGGCTTTGGTGGAAACTGAACGTTTGACTGTGGGTCATCAAGCCACCATGAGATCTGAACTGCCTATCATGAACTGGGTGTTTGCTAACTTATCTAGCCATAAAGTGGATTGTGCACAGCATCATTCCATCATCAAATGGAAGTGGTATATATGTGATTGGGCTTGAGCAGATCCTGAAAGCAGAAGTAAGTTACATGAGGAAGTGGCTCAAATGCCCATGATCTCCACTCCTGCCACCCTGCCTTCTCTTTCCCAGCCTGCACTGATAGCCTCCTGGGGAGTTCCCTATGATCAGCTGACAGAGGAAGAAAAGACTAAGGCCTCGTTCGCAGATGGTTCTGCATGACATGCAGGCATCACCCAAAAGTGGACAGCTGTAGCACTACAGCCCCTTTCTAGGACATCCCTGAAGGACAGTGGTGAAGGGAAATCTTCCCAGTGGGCAAAACTTTGAACAGGGCACCTGGCTGTGCACTTTTCATGGAAGGAGAAATGGCCAGATGTGCAATTATATACTGATTCATGGGCTGTAGCCAGTGGTTTGGCTGGATGGTCAGGAACGTGTAAGAAGCATGATTGGAAAATTGGTGACAAAGAAATCTGGGGAAGAGGTATGTGGATGGACTTCTCTGAGTGCTCAAAAACTGTGAAGATATTTTTATCCCATGTGAGTACTCACCAATGTGTGACCTCAGCAGAGGAGGATTTTAATAATCAAGTGGATAGAATGACCCATTCTGTGGACACCACTCAGCCTCTTTCCCCAGCTACCCCTGTCATTGCCCAATTGGCCCATGAATAAAGTGGCCATGGTGGCAGGGATGGAGGTCATGCATGGTCTCAGCAACATGGACTTCCACTCACTAAGGCTCACCTGGCTAAGGCCACTACTGAGTACCCAATTTGCCAGAAGCAGAGACCAACACTGAGCCTTCTATATGGCACCATTCCTCAGGGTGCTCAGCCAGCTACCTTGTGATAGGTTGATTATATTGGACTTCTTCCATGATGTAAAGGGCAGATACGGGTTTGCCTGTCCTGCACACAATGCTTCTTCCAACCCTACCATCCGGGGACTCACGGAATGCCTTATCCACCATCATGGTATTCCACACAGCATTGCCTCTGACCAAGGCACTAACTTTACGGCTAAATAAGTGTTACAGTGGGCTCATGCTCATAGATCACTGGTTTTACCATGTTCCCCATCCAGAAGCAGCTGGATTAATAGAATGGTGGAATGGCCTTTTGAAGTCACAATTACAATGCCGACTAGGTGACAATACTTTGCAGGCCTGGGGCAAAGTTTCCAGAATGCTGTGTATGCTCTGAATCAGTGTCAATATATGGTACTGTTTCTTCCATAGCCATGATTCAGGGGTCCAGGAATCAAAGTGTGGAAGTGGCAGCGGCACCACTCACCATCACCCCTAGTGATCCGCTAGCAAAATTTTTGCTTCCTGTTCTCATGACATTACGTTCTTCTGGCATAGAGGTCTCAGTTCCAGAGGGAGGAATGCTGCCACCAGGAGACACAACAATTATTCCATTAAACTAGAAGTTAAGATTGCCACCTGGACACTTTGGGATCCTCCTACCTTTATTTGTTTGTTGTTATTGTTGTTGTTTGTTCGTTTGTTTGCTTTGAGATGTAATCTCACTCTGTCGCCCAGGCTGGAGTGCAGTGGTGCAATCTCAACTCACTGCAAGCTCTGCCTCCTGGGTTCATGCCATTCTCCTGCCTCAGCCTCCCAAGTAGCTGGGACTACAGGTGCCCGCCACCACGCCTGGCTAAATTTTTGTATTTTTAGTAGAGATGGGGTTTCACTGTGTTAGCCAGGATGGTCTCGATCTCTTGACCTCGTGATCTGCCCACCTCAGCCTCCCAAAGTGGAATCCTCCTACCTTTAAGTCAACAGGCTAAGAAGGGAGTTACAGTGTTGGCTGGGGTGATTGATCCAGACTATCAAGTTGAAATCAGTCTACTACCCCACAACAGAGGTAAGTAAGAGTATGCATGAAATACAGGAGACCCATTAGGGTGTCTCTTAGTATTACCATGCCCTGTGATTAAGATCAATGAGAAACTACCACAGCCCAATCCAAGCAAGACTACAAATGGCCCAGACCTTTCAGGAAGGAAGGTTTGTGTCACTCCACTAGGAAAAAAAGCACGACCTGCTGAGGTGCTTGTTGAAGGCAAAGGGAATACAGAATGGGTAATAGAAGAAGGTAGTCATCAATACCAGCTATGACCATGTGACCAGTTGAAGAAAGGAGGACTGTAATTGCCATATTTCCTCCTTCTTTTGTTAAAAATATGTCTGTGCATGTATATACTTGTACTAAGAAAATATCTTCATTCTATTTTCTTTTTCCTTTATCATGTGACATAGATTTATTGGCTTCATGTCAGCATTTAAGTGTTGTTAACTTTATATAATAGTATTTGGGTTGGGGACTGGTGCATTTCCAGTTGTATGAAGGATAACTGTATTATGTTAGGCATAATTATGACCTTATTATTGTCTTTATTTGAAGATTATGTATGATCTTATGAGATGTGTATGGGTTCAAGTTGACAAGTGATAGACTTGTGATGGTTAATACTGAGTGTCAATTTGATTGGATTGAAGGATGCAAAATATTGATCCTGGGTGTGTCTGTGAGGGTGTTGCTGAAGGAGATTAACATTTGAGTCAGTGGGCTGGGAAAGGCAGACCCACCCGTAATCTGGGTGGGCACCATCTAATTAGCTGCCAGCATGGCTAGAATATAAAGCAGGCAGAAAAACGTGAAAAGACTAGACTGGCCTAGCCTCCCAGCCTACATCTTTCTCCTGTGCTGGATGCTTCCTGCACTCAAACATTAGATTCCAAGTTCTTCAGTTTTGGGACTCAGACTGGCTTTCCTTGCTCCTCAGGTTGCAGACAGCCTATTGTCGGACCTTGTGATCATGTCAGTTAATACTTAATAAACTCATATATATATATCTCCTATTAGCTCTGTCCCTCTAGAGAATCCTGACTAATAAAGACCCTAAACTGTAGCTTTGTCATTTTGAGGACTTTGACACATGTATTTGTAGCCAATGCATAACTTCAGACTTGGATTTTACATTATAATGTTTCAGACACTTGATAAGAATCTTGCTATCTCTTCTCAGAAATCACTCAGTTCACTATTTTCAGTCACAACTAAACTTGCCATGCTTTTTGATATTGAATCTTGACACATTTCCTCAAATTTCTTCAGCATTTCAATCTCACCTGCCATTATTTGTCCTACTCTATTCTATGCACTTCATGGAATGACTTACTCTGCCTTTTCCTTTCCTTTCTTTGTTTTTAATATAAGTCATCAGGCCTCATACTAAGTATAAGATCAGGAAAATTACACCACCTTAACTGTATATACTTTGCAATCAAGAATATTATGCAGTGGTAAAACTGCTTCTCCTTATGCTAGTCAAAGACATTGATGGAGTTTTTCTGTGGTAGATTTTACAACTGAAGTAAACAAAATATAATATTACTAGGAGATCCTGCCAATCATAATACGGGCTAAAGATCTCCTTATGTAAAAAGTAGAATGCCTGGAAGCTGTTTGACTTGCAGAGATATTTAATTTATTACATATACACTACCAGCAAGATGGAACCAACTGTTCTTAACTCTTGCTAAAAAGATATGACACTTAACTCTGACCAAAAGAACATTATTAAGTAGAAGTGACAGAAGTGGCTATATAATCTTATCATTTTAATCTTAGAGCGTATCACATTTTACTCCTCTTAGTATAACTCACACATAATAAATATAATTAGCACAGTGCAGAAGTTTTAAGTACATGAAAGTATTGTCAACTTTTAGTGTATTTCACAAAACTTGCACACTGAACCACCTTATAGCATAACCAGAAAAAAAGACATTACTAGACAGACATGGAAAGCACATTTCCAAAAGTTCATTAAAAAAAGACTCTTAAAACTTATTTAATAAAATTACAGGTGAATAATATGGTTACCCCATACAGAAGAAAAGCTGTGAAATCATCTAAAGAAAGCAGTGTGTGCCATGGAGAGTTACCTAATGAGATATGATTTCAAAGGGTGTGTAAATCAGGCAGCAGATGTAGCAGGGGAAGGATGCAGGGGTAAAAAAAAAAAAAAATGATAGTTTGTGCTTTAGAACTTTTCTGCATTAAGAATAAATTTTATAAAAATAAACTTTTACCTTAGGACAGTTTTAGATTTATAGAAAAAATTGTGAAGATAATGTAGAGTTCCAGCACCCAGTGTTCTCTATTGTTAACAAGTATGGTTACTACTGCTAAATCAATGATGATACATTATTAATAACTAATTTTCATACTTTATACAAGTTTCTTTAGTTTTTACCTAATTTACTTTTTATGTTCCAGGATACCATCCAAGATCCTACATTGCACTTAGTTTTTATATCTTCTTAGCTTCCTCTTGTCTGTGACCATTTCTCAGACTTTTCTTGTTGTTGGTAACCTGGATAGTTTTGAGGAGTACTGGTCAGGTATTTTGCAGAATAGCCCTCAATTGGCATTTGTATAATTTTCTTCATGATTAGAATTAGGTTATGGATTTTGGGGAGAAAAACTACAGAGGTAAAGTGACATTCTCATCAAATCGTATCAAGGTACATACCACCAAAAAGACTTATCACTGTTGCTGTGAATGATTACTTGACTGAAATAGTTTGAGTCAGGTTACTCCACTGTAAAATTACTTTTTTCCCCCTTACATGCTGTACTCTTTGGAAGTAAGTCACCATATACAGCCCAAATTCTTAAGGAGTAAGCAGTTATGCTTCACCTCCTTGCGAGTGAAGTATCTGCATAAATTATTTGAAATTCTTCTGCACAGAAGACTCATGTATTTTCTTCCATGTATTTATTTATTCAATCATTTTTTTTTATCAGAATGGACTCAGATATTTACTTGATGTTTTGGGTTGTCATCTAAAGTTAAATTATTTTGTTGCTCTAATTGTTCAAACTTTGACTGTTGAGATCATTTTTAGTTGGCTCCTATATATCATTAAGGCAGAAAATTAACAAAGATATTTAGGACTTAAACTCAGCATTGGACCGAATGAATCTGCTAGACCTTTAGAGACATCTCCACCCCCCGACCAGTCCCCACCAAACAACAGATTATACATTCTTCTCATTGCCATATGGCACATACTCTAAAATTGACCACATAATTAGGCATACAACAATCCTCAACAAATGTAAAAGAACTGAAATCACACCAAACACACTGTTGGACCACAGCACAATAAAAATCGAAGTCATCACAATGACAATTGCTCAAAATCATGCAATTACATGGAAATTAAGCAACATGCTCCTGAATGACTTTTGGGTAAATAATGAAATTAAGGCAGAAATCAAAAACGTCTTTGAAAATAATGAGAATAAAGATACAACATACTGGAATCTCTGGGACACAGCTAAGGCAATGTTAAGACAGAAATTCTTAGCGCTAAATGCCCACATCAAAAAGTTAGAAAGATCTCAAATTAACAGACAAACTTCACAACTGAAAGAATTAGAGATGCAAGAACAAATCAACCCCAAAGCTAGCAGAAAATGACAAATAACAAATCTCAGAGCTGAATTGAAGGAAATTGAAATATAAAAAAAAAAAATTCAAAAGATCAATGAATCTAGGAGTTGGTTTTTTTCAAAAAATTACTAAAATAAATAGACCACTAGTTAGACTAATTAAGAAGAAAAGAAAGATGATCCAAATAAATACAAGTAGAAATGACAAAGGGAATCTTACTACTGACTCCACAGAAATAAAAACAATCATCAGAAAGTACTACAAAAACCCTTACACACACACAAACTAGAAAACCTAGAAGAGATGGATAGATTGCTGGACACATACAGCCTCCCAAGATTGAACCAGAAAGAAATTAATTCCCTGAACAGATCATTAATGAGCTCCAAAATTGAATCAGCAATAAATAACCTACCAATGAAAAAAGACCAAGACCTAATGGATTCATAGCCAAATATTAACAGATGTACAAAAAAAGAGCTAGTACCATATCCACAGAAACTATTCCAAAAAATTGAGGAGGATGGCCTTCTCCCTAACTCATTTTTCTGAGGCCAGCATCATCTTGATACCAAAACCTGGCAGAGACACAACAACAACAACAAAAACTTCTGTTCAATATCCTTGATGAACATTGATGCAAAAATCCTCAACAAAATACTTGCAAACCAAATCCAACAGCACATTAAAAAGCTAATCCACCATGATCAAGTAGGCTTCATCCCTGGGATGCAAGGATATTTCAACATACACAAATCAATAAATGTGATTCATCACATAAGCAGAACTAAAGACAAAACCCACATGATTCTCTCAGTAGATGGAGAAAAGGGTTTTGATAAAATTCAACATTCCTTCATATTAAATACTCTCAATAAACTAGGTATTTAAGGAACATACTGCAAAATAATAAGAGCCATCTATGAGAAACCTACAGCCAACATTGGGAAAAAGCTGGAAGCATTCTCCTTGAAAACCAGCACAAGACAAAGATGCCCTCTCTCACCACTTCTATTCAATACAGTATTGGTAGTCCTAGCCAGAGCAATCAGGCAAGAGAAAGAAATGAAGGCATCCAAATAGGAAAAGAGAAAGTCAAACTATCTCTGTTTGCTGATGACAGGATTCTGTTCTAGAAAACACCATAGTCACAGTCCAAAAGCTCCTTCAGCTGATGACTTCAGCAAAGTTGCAGGATACCAAATCAATGTACAAAAATTACTAGCATTGCTATGCACCGACAACAACCAAACTAATATCCAAATGAGAAAGGCAATATCATTCACAATTGCCACACACACACAATAAAATAAAATAAAATTCCTAGGAAAACAGCTAACCAAGGAGGTGAAAGATCTCTACACTGAGAATTACAAAACACTGCTCAAGGAATCAGAGAAGACACAAATGAATGGAAAAACATCCCATGTTCATGGATTGGAAGAATCAATATCATGGCAATTGTGACCCAAACAATCTACAGATTCAGTGCTATTCCTATCAAACTACAAATGACATTTCACAGAACTAGAAAAAATTATTTTAAAAGTCATATGGAACCAAAAAGGAGCCTCAATAGTCAAGGCAATTATAAGAAAAATGAACAAAGCTGGAGAAATTACAGTACCTGATTTCAAACTATACTATGAGGCTACAGTAACCAAAACAGCATGGTACTGGTACAAAAATAGGCACATAGACCAATAGAACAGAAAGAAGAGACAAGAAATAAGGCTGCACATGTACGACCATCAGATCTTCAGCAAAGCTGACAAAAACAAGCAATGGGAAAAGACTCCCTATTCAACAGATGGCACTGAGATGACTGGCTAGCCATATGCAGAAGATCGAAGCTGGACCTCTTCCTTATACCATATATAAAAAGCAACTCAAGATGGAATAAAGACTTAAATGTAAAACCCAACTATAAAAGCCCTAGAAGACAACTGAGACATTACCATCCTGGACCTAGGAACAGGCAAAAATTTCATAACAAAGACATCAAAAGCAATCACAACAAAGTCAAAGACTAAAGAGCTTCTGTGCAGCAAGAGAAACTATCAGAGTAAACAGATAACCTACAGAATGGGAGAAAATTTTTGCAAAGTATGCATCTTACAAAGGTTGAACATCCAGCGTCTATAAGGAACTTAAACAAATTTACAAGAGAAAAACAAACCACCCCATTAAAAAGTGTTTAAAGGACTCGAACAGACACTTCTCAAAAGAAGATATACAAGCCACCAACAAGCATATGAATAAAAGCTCAAAATTATGTGTCATCAAAGAAATGTAAATGAAAACTGCCATCTCACACCAGTCAGTATGGCTATTATTAATAAGTCAAAAAAATAGTAGATTGTGATGAGGTTTCAGAGAAAGGGAATACTTATACACTGTTGCTGGGAGTGTATCATTCCCAATGGTAAATTAGTTCAACCATTGTGGAAAGCAGTATGGCAATTCCTCAAAGAGCTAAAAGCAGAACTACCATTCTACCCAGCAATCCCATTACTGAATATATACCCAGATAAATATAAAGCATTCTACCATAAAGACACGTGCATGCAAATGTTCAATCCTGCACTGTTTGCAATAGCTAAGACATGCAATCAACCTAAATGCCTATTAATGACAGACTGAATAAGGAAAATGTGCTACGTATACACCATGGAATATTATGCAGTCATAAAAATGGGCAAGATCTTGAAGTACAAGAGGACTCTGCTGGCAACAAGATACAAGCAGGGAGTAATGGTAGAAGAGGAGCAAAGCTGGTTGTCAAGGGCTCTCTTCTGATATAGAGAGTTAAAAATATCTGCACAAATGCACTAAGTAAAAGAATGGGAAGATGAGCTATAATACCAGAGACAGAAGGCATTCCTCCCAGAAGCAAGAAGGGAAGTGGAGCACAAAACAATGTCACAGGGTACTGCTACCAGAGTTGCACAAACTGTGCTCTGTTCCAAGGGAGAAACACCTCAAGATAAGAGGGAAAGCAGCTCTCTTTTTTATCATTTCTCCCTGATGGTTTTAAAGACCCGAAGCCCAGACTCTTGCAGCACTGAACCATAGGTGGGATACAGGGAGGAGAGACAGAGGGTAAGGAACATGAATGATGTTAAACACACAAAGCCTCTGTATCCCTTCCACAGACTTCCCAGCCAGGCAGTTGTTGGTAGGTTGATACTTGATTTGGGACAAAATTGCAGGGGTATGAGGGGGTGGCTCTCAATTAAAAAAACAACTAGGAAATCCAATTTATTTGTTTTCCTCTAAGGGCTGCTTAGCTCTACAGAAATACACCAAGGGCCCTCAATCTATCCTGTTTAACCAGGAAGGGGAACAGGAGACAGGGAGAAGAAATGGTCAGATGAAGATCATCTTCTCATCATTTGCCACCCAGAAGAAGAGAGGGAGGTAGAGACTGTGATGGGGACTGCTGGTATTGCATCATCTGTCTTTCATTGTTGATCCTATTGGCCAAATCAGGTGCACACAAGTATCTACATTGCTGCTTTTCTTCTAATCCTTGCAGGAGAGTCAGATGCCCATCTCAAACTGAGCATCATCCCCAACTGCGTGTTTCCTCTCATGATTGTTTATGTTGTTCAAATTGTTTACTTCTACTCTGGAGTCTTCGATTAAGGTGCCAGGGCTAGTGACTTCTGGGATATTTGGTAGATGGCAGGGTGGGGTCTGAACCATGGGAGAATTGCAATAATCCAACAGAAACTTTCTATCATAAAAGATTTGAGTTCCTCCCCGTGTGGTGAGAAGAGTGCCCCCCCTCCCCCGCAACCCTGTGTGGTGCAGTAGTCATGAGGTAACTGTGCAGCGTCGCTGATGGCCACGGTGCGGCTGGGGATGGTGCGGCTCTGGCTGAAGTCCTGTTGTACTTGAAGACAGTGAAGTGATTTTGTCTGTTCCCAGAACAGCACCATACCAAGCAATAGAGGAAATTTAATCTCCACTTGGTGGGTAAGGTTTGATCACAGTATTTTGTCCGATAATGCCTAAGAATGATCTCTGTAGAGTGTTGACCCACTTGAGTACCCACTCTCAGTAGTCACTTTTAAATACAGTGAGCATTGTGATATTTGTTCTCAGATTGCAGTTTCTTATGTTTTGAGTTTGAAGTTGATTTTTAGAATGTTCCTAGAGAAGAACTGCAGTTTTTTTTTTTTTTTCCTTTGTGGATCTGCTTTATTTGGCTGCTGGGATAGATAAGTATGGGCTTAAAAAATGTGTTCCTCCTTTGTTCTCTTGTCTTTCCTATTGTACTCTGAATTTCCCTTCCTTTTCTTCTCTCCCTCTCTTCCTCCCTCACTGTCTTCCTCTCTCCTTCCTTTTCTTCCTTTTTCTCTGCCAGGCCATTTTTCAAATGTACATCAAAGATACCTCAAGTGTTTGTTTCCGAGAATATCTGTCAGTTCTCTTATCTGAGGAGTGGCCTTTTATTTTTATGACTTCAGGCCTATTTTTAGAGATTTTTCAGTGCAATTTTGAACAGCACCTTTTTAATGAAACATCTTCCAGTGTTAGAAAGGTGAGAAATGTTCATAGGCGAGTCTGCTGTTCTATGTCACCATCTTTTGTCGCCCCCAGCCCTCCAGGAGCTCTTTCCTTACCCCTCTAGTTTTGAGTGTGCATGTTTGGAGTTTATAGTGAGTGGTTTGTAAAACTGTTTAATTCTGCCTTGCCATGGATTGTTCATGAAAGCCTCATTGTTTTCCCTGACCCTTTAGCTTTTGCATTTACCCTCCTCTTCACCCACCTTTCCTGGGACTAGTGCCCTGCATAATAATCTGTGAAGAATGACTCTCCATAGAAAGACTAAAGCATCCATCTCCTCGTAGTTAAGTAAAGTAGCCACTGGTAGTGGCTGGGAATTTCTGGTTGTATTTGGTGCCTTGAGCCCTCTTATCAAGAAATCAGATCCCAAGGTGTGAGTAACAGGCCAATTGGCCAAAAAAGAAACATGTTTGTTTTCCTTTTGATCTACGAAAAGAACCTGTTTGTGAATATAGTTTAGAAACAAGAGAGGAAGGATGTCTGCAGAACTTTGTTGTG
Organism: Homo sapiens; assembly: GCF_000001405.40. Lineage (NCBI taxonomy): Eukaryota > Metazoa > Chordata > Mammalia > Primates > Hominidae > Homo > Homo sapiens. Next base: position 98,181,029 of record NC_000006.12, read on the forward strand.
TTTTCTGCTACAAAAATATGAATAGTTCAAAGAATGAAAATCTTTTGTGATGGTTGATGTCTCTCAGGAATATGCTGGATCTCCAGTATTTAGGGAATGCTTTGAGTCTCTAAAATTGATAATCAGAAAAGTATTTTTGTTTGTCTGCTTAATGTATCCCCATTCTGATTTTAATTAAACTCCAAATCTCATTGTACATAAAAAAAGAATGAGATCATGGCTTTTGCGGGATCACAGATGGAGCTGCATGCTATCATCTTTAGCAAACTAATGCAGGAATAAACAGGAAAACCAAATACTGAATGTTCTCACAAGTGGGAGCTAAATGATAAGAACTTAAAAACACAAAGAAGGAAATAACAGACATTGGGGTCTACTTGAGGGGCGAGGGTGGGAAGAGAGAGAGGAGCAGAAAAGATAACTGTTGGATACTGAGTTTAATACCTGGGTGATGTAATAATACATACAACAACCCCCCATGACATGTGTTTATCTATGTAACAAACCTTCACATATACCCCCAAGCCTCAAATAAAAATAAAAATAAGAAATATATGTTATGAAACAATTAATCTAACAAAGTCAGTAAGAACTCACAATCAAATGGCAATTAAATACCTGGCAAATGTGAAATATGTCCTTTCTTCTGGCACAGTACAATATATTCTGGGTTCATTTTTATATTCCCTCCCCTAGAGCTAGAATAAACTGTTTGTCCAAGGAAACTTTGTTCCTTTTTTTGAAGAATGGCATTAGAAACTAAGATCTGTGTGCTAGGTATATTCATTGCTCCTGCAGTGTCATTGCTTCTAGACTCTCTCAGCTGACATAGCGATGAAATACATGTGTGTATACTAGTTTTGTATATATTCAATTCTGTACATATCTCTGTATGTTACCACCTCTGTTTCTATATTATACTGTACACAAGTTTGTAGAGATGTCTCCCAATTCTAACCCAGTATTATTTTCCATTATACATATATGGCAATATTGGAATTGTTTATTTGTTTTTCCAGGGGAAACAATATTATGAAAATATAGAACTTATGTACAATTCTTTTTGTTTTTAGTCTTATAAGTATCCAATCGTTTTCAGTTATTTAGATCATCATCTTTCCTTTGCCTCCCACAGCAAGATTATTTCATACATATGTAATATAGTTTGACTCTATTATCACAGTAAATGTTCCATCCTGGGATCTCAGACTTCCTAGATGATTTTTTAAAAATTTGCATACATTAAGTTTTAATATTTGTGCCATAAAGTTCTATGCATCTGACACCTATATAGTGTAATGTGTCCACCATTACTGTATTATACAGAATAGTTTTACAACCCTAAACAACCCACTATTATTCACCTATTCAACCCTTCCCTCTTCCCAAACTCTTAACAACCTGTTAGCCTCTCTATAATTTTGCATTTTGTGCAATATCATATAGATAGAATCATACAGTAGGTAACCTTTTCAGACTGGTTTATTTCATTTTGCAATTTGTATTTAAAATTCTTTCATGTTTTTGTGTGGCTAGATGGCATGTCTCTATCATGGAATAGTATGCACTGTATGGATGTACTACAGTTTGTTTCTCCATTCACCTACTGTAGGACATCTCAATTACTTTCAGCTTCTGGCAATTATGAATGAAGCTGCTATAAATATTTGCTTGTGGATTTTTTCATGGACATAAGTTTTTTAAGCAGTTGGGTAATACCTAGAAGTATGACTACTGGATGATACTGTAAAACTATTTTTAGCTTTGTAAGAATCTGCCAACCTATCTTTCCAAATGGACTAACTGTAACATTTTGCATTTCCACCATCAATGAATAAAAATTCTTGTTGCTTCCCACCCCCATCAGCAATTGGTGATGTCCATTTGTCGAAGTTTAACTATTTTAATAAGTATGTGGTAGTATTTCTCACAGCTGTTTTAATCTAGTGGTATTTAGCTGTTTTAATCTAGTGGTACTTCTCACAGCTGTTTGCTCTAGTGACAAAGGATATTGAACATCATTTCATATGCTATTTGCCATCTATATATCTTCTTTAGTCAAGTGTTCAGATATGTTGCCCATTTTTAAAATGGGTTGATTTCTTACTGTTGAGTTATCTGAGTTCCTTGCATATTTTGGATGCAAGCCCTTTAGTCTATAAGTGAATAGCAGATTTTTTTTCTTAGTAGATGCCTTCTTTGAGTGTGTTTAATGTTTTCTGTAGCTGTAGGTGCCAGAGGCTTCAAATGCCTCTAGTGTCCCTTTTTGTTTCCCACCTTGATTTTTGGCTTCCTTAAGTACTCCTCTTCAGGGACAGTCTGTGTCCTGCAGTTTTTAAGCTATATCCTCTGTTAATATACTGAAGCTTTATTAATATGAGGGTAAGGTGTCAGGGAGGGAGAGATGTATATAATCTATGATTGAATAAGATTATATACAGTCTTTTCGTAGGCCTGTCTCTCTTGTCTGTGACTTCCCAAACAACCAGTAGTATAGCTTTTTTCCATCTATATGAGAGACAGGGCTAAAAGGGAATAAATGGAGGTGAGGAATAATCTCCTACCAACTGGAATAAGATTTTAGTAATGTTTACGCCCCTGGAGAGTGGGCCCTTTCTTGTTATGGAGAATTCTCTGGCATGTTACACAAAGATTATTCTGTGTCCACCTGATAGATTCATAAGAAACTTCTTCACCATAAGAAACTGCTAGGGTTCTTGGAAGTGTGTTTCCCCATCCAGCAGTTTTTCATACTCAGCATCCATCATTTTGTTGAAATTATTATTATTATTATTATTATTTCAGACAGACTGTAGGTCTGTCTCCCAGGCTGGAGTGCAGTAACACCATCTTGGCTCACTGCAACCTCTGCCTCCCGGGTTCAAGCTATTCTCATGCATTAGCCTCCCAAGTAGCTGCAACTACAGATGCACACCACCACACCTGGCTAATTTTTGTATTTTTAGTAGGGACAGGGTTTCACCATGTTGGCCAGGCTGGTCTTGAACTCCTGACCTCAAGTGATCCGCCCACCTCGGCCTCCCAAAGTGCTGAGATTACAGGCATGAGCCACTGCACCCAGGCTTTGTTGAAATTATTATTTAAGTATCCCTATCAGATTATGGCTTTAGGAATGTCTGCTTCAAGTAAGCAGATCTCACCTGTGACTCTAGATTCACCTCTCCAGATCTGGAGTGACAGCTTTCCCTGCAATATTAGTTCACTGGTGGATCTAATGAAAGACATTGAGTTTCAACTTTTTCTGCTTTTTTGTTGTTGTTGCAAGGACATGAGTGATGACTTCCAAGATCTTTGCATGTTGAAGCTGAAAGTGGCAGTCATATGTTACTTTTTAATTAGAAAAAAATATATAATTTTTATAAGTGTCAGAATTTTTTAAGAATCATGATATACTAAAATGCTGAAAGAAATTTTTGAAGCCAAATAAAATGTTAAGGCCAACAAAAAAGGACATTTGAGCTAAAAGTCTACTAAGGAAGATTCATGGCCTGGAGAAGTGATATAAATAAACTCTGACAGAGAGAAAGCAGAAATACTCAATTCTTATAAGATTTCTATTTATTTCATTACAAAGAATGATACTAAACTTTGAAAAAGCAGAACTAGCAAATTTTTAACTCAAATCTGAAACTTAAGATGAATAGATATAAAAAGATGCCTATCTTCTTTAGAGGAGATCATCTGGAGTCCCAAAAGGGCTATTGATTAAGACTTCTGTGTTCATTAAAAATTTGGACTATTCAGATGGCTTCCAAAAATCATCCAAGTAAGCAAAACGTGATCAATATATAAATAAATTTGTAAATAATCAATGATTTTGATCTGTCCCCAAAAATAATTAGTTGTTGATTAATTAAGAATTTGTAAGGTAATATTCTGTGGAATCATCACAGATAATGTCGAGAACAAGCCATGCTAAACAAACTTGACTTCCTTCTTCAGAAAATTAGCAGTCTTGTAGAGAAGAAAAATACCATCAGTATAATATTCTTGAATACAAGATGGAAAAATGATGTCTGGATGGCAGTATAATTAAGTGGATTTGTAATGGTTGGCACAAAAGCACCCAAGTGGTAATGAATACAATATCTATATCAGGTAATTAGGAGGTTTGTGATATAATGCTACTAGACTAGTTCCTAAAAACATAGCCACCATTCCACCCAGCAATCCCATTACTGGGTATATACTCAAAGGAATATAAAGCATTCTATCATAAAGACACATGCACATGTCATGTTCATTGCAGCCCCATTCACAATAGCAAATACATGGAATCAACCTAAATACCCATCAATGACAGATGAAGTAAGGAAAATGTGGTACATATACAACATGGAATACTATGCAGCCATAAAATAGATCATATATTTTGTGGGAGCAAGGGTGGAGCTGTAGGCCATTATGCTTAGCAAACTAACACAGGAACAGAAAACAAAATACTGCATGTCTTACGTATAAGTGGGAGCTAAAAGATGAGAACACATGGACACATAGAGAACCAACAGACACTGGGGCCTACCAGAGGATGGATGGTGGGAGGAGGGAGAGGATCAAGAAAAATAACGAATGGGTACTAGGCTTAATATCTGGGTGATGAAACAATCTGTACAACAAACTCTTATGAAACAAATTTAACATAGAACACACCTACACATGCATACCTGAACTTAAAAGTTAAAAATATATAAATATAAAAATAAATAATGTAAAACACTAGTAACATATCAGAACAAACTCTAAAAGAAAAAAATACAGTATTGGAGGCTATCCTAATCAAGCTTTTCAAAACTGACAAGAAACATCAAGCCACAAGTACATCAATTTTTCAGAAACTAATCAGGAAAATACAAACTACCATGATAGAACTAGCTCCATGATAGAAAAAGTTTTGAAAACCAAAACCAAGAGAAGATCTTGAAAATAGCTAAGGAAAAAACAAAACAAAACAACATAACACATTAACTTTAAGGGAACAACAATAAGCTTGACAGCCAATTGTTCATACCAATAATGAAAACTAGAAGAAATTAAAATGGTATCTTTAGAGCTGTGAGAGAATATATGCCAGCTTCGAAATACACACACACACACACACACACACACACACATGCAAGCACACACATATATCCTTCGACAATAAGTTATTTCAATATAAGGACATATTCTGAAAAAAAAAATAATTGAGATACTGTCTTCAGGAGACATCAACTAAAGGAAATACTAAAAAGAGCTCTTCAGGCCAAAGGAGAATACTGAAACTTTCATAAACTACTGACGGGAGTATACTTCTTTGGTACCATATAATTTTGGAAAAATGTTTGACAGCATCAACTAAAGTTGAACACATACCTGCCACTTAACAAGCTATTCTATTCCTAGGTAAGCACTCAGCAGAAATGTATACACAGGTATACCAAAATACAAGAATATTCATATTAGCTTTATTCAAAATAGTCAATACCTGAAAATAATCCAAATGTCCATTGTCAGAGAAATGGATAAATTGTAGGATATTCCTACAAGGTACACCATGTACCTTGAGATCCAGTTGCCCACTGCACTAACCCAGTCCCTGACACACATTTTGTTGATCTCTCTCTTTCTTGTATCACTTCTCCCACCCTCCCTTGTGAACCCTGGGGTCTCCTCTCAAATAAACCACCTGTGCCCAAACCCTCATCTTACAGTTCATTCTTGAGAAACACAAAGTAAGATAACTGGCCACTTTTGCAGTTGGTGATAACTGGGATGGGAAAAGAGGAATATTTCTAGGGTACTGCTAATATTCTTTGCCTTAATCTGTGTAGTGTTAAACTAATGTGTTTACTTAATAAAAAATTCACTGTGCATGTATAGTTTGTTCACTTTTTATTATATTTGGTATAGTTCATACAATAGGCTTATACAAAACAGTAATGTATATTAAAATGTCTAATGATAAATATTTTGATGTGCTGCTTTTGGTACTAGAGTACTGAAATAATCTAGTTTATAAAACAGCAATGTTTTTAGAAATTTTTTCATAAACCTTCTGTGAATTAAAAAAAGCATACATATATATAATATATATAGTGTGTGTGCATATTTTAAAATTAATTGATTTAAATTATTTAATTCCATTAAATAATTAAAAATTAAACCATACATATATATATGCACACACACTACTACAGTTACCTATAGATAAGAAATTAAAGCGCTATGTGACTTAAATTTTATATCTACAGTATTCATTTCAGGTTATATCAAATATTTAATACCAGCTATTCTTTGGGATTTGTTAGCATATCTTTTAAAACTTGCCTGCGGCAGTTACAAGAAGGAATGTAAAAAGTGGTTTTGATTATCGTTTTGGATTGTCAACCTTGACAGTTTGGGTGGGATTTATAGGCATGAAGAAAGAGTACACAGACACTCACACAAGTATACCTTTATTCTATTCCTGGAGAAGATTCTTTCCCAAAATAACCAAAGAGCTTGTTATTCGTCAGAAGAATTAGAGTGGAGCTCTTTGGGACTAACCTGGGGCACAGGTGTCTGGAAACAAGAATTTACTAATGACCAGTTTGGATCTATAGGCACCTATGAAGAGATTTTTTTAAAGTCTGCTTTTTAGCAGACGTAAATCCCCTTTTATTTTATTTTATAGCCACAATCATAAAAATATGGCACTTTAAACTTCCATTTATTTATTCTGAAACAAAAGAGTTTAAATTTAAAAATAGAAGTTAAAAATAATGAGTTAGTATGTGGCTTACTGCTAAGAAGAAAGAAAACTAAGTCACTAATTTATTACTTGGATATCATCAGAGGGGGCACTTTCAATAAGCAGATAGTGTAGAGAAGCTACTCAGGGTTATCATCCTCTCTAGGGAGGAACCTGAAAGAAACAGAACTATAAAAATCTAGTGGTGTCCCTGAAAAAATGTTTGTTTTCTTGTACCTAATGCCTTACCAATGCTTTAATGATTCATTAAAATGAGAGTTCCAAAGGATTGACTGTTGAAATACCCATGTTGTTTTCTAGGAATCAGTTTCTGACTAAGCTCCTCTCTGCTCTCATACTAAGCATGAATAAAATATATTCATAAGAGGATGATGGTGCCAGAGTAATAGAACTGAAGAATGCTGCATTCAGGTTTTTCTTTAAACTCTTTCACAATTTGATTGGAAGCTGAATTTCAAGATTCTTTGTTACTAACACCCATGCATCATAATTGCTCAGGCATATTATCATCCATCCTTACATTGAGTCTGCATATAGCTTTACCCTGAAATCCGCATGTCTTTGTGAGGCATACATTTTTTTTTTTCATTTAAGTCCTTTTATTACAGTGGTGCCAGCTACTGCTGCTATCGTTAAATGCCTGTCAGCATTTCCATTATAAACCTTATTTTCAGGGGATTTATAACCTAGCCATTTTAATTCACATTCGGCTGAAAGTTGCCATCGAAATTCTCAACATACAGTGGTTGCTGTTTTCTTTTATCACCAAATTTTATTTGAATCTGTTTATCTGCCTGAGATTTAGCAATATGTAAAACCATAACACTGACGTAGAAGAAAAATACAGTAGCTGCTGTTTTCTTTTATCACCAAATTTTATTTGAATCTGTTTATCTGTCTGAGATTTAGCAATATGTAAAACCATAACACTGACATAGAGGAATAATAGAGATTTGGTACATGTTTTCTAAAGTAAAAATGCACACATGACAAATTAGAAAGGCGTTATTAAAATTGGCAGACCCTTAACAAGAAAAAGTTTTTAATGGATAACTTAAAACCACTATTATCAAAGGTACACAACTATTCTATGCTCATAGTTTTTAAAAATGTATATATTCCTGTGAAGACCAATGTATGTCATGAAAAAGTTATGGCCAATTCAGCATACCTTTCTCTTCACCATAATAGGCTTATGACATCATGAAATATAATATAAAGCCATATCCCTTTTGTTGTAAAATAAAACGTCATGTACAAATATGACATTAAATTTTATAAAAAATTCTAACTTTATTTTGATTCTTCATGAAGAAAACCATGCTTTAAATATGTTTATAGAACTTAAAATGTTTTCATGTCATCTGACTTCTTTAATTTTTTTATTGTTAGGGTAAGGATATGCTGGGCATTTTTAAACACTGTAAAAGCAATAATTCAGATATTTCATAAACATAGAAAAAACTAAGATTACCTCAGGTCTTGTTACTGAAGGCAAGAAAACTTAAGAAACAAGCAGTCTAAGTTTGTGGAGATTTTATGTCAATGAATAAAAATCATACTTTGGCAAAACAGTGCTCACATTGAATACAGACAACTAAAAGCCTGAAGAAAACTCATGCAAAACATACAAAGTAGGCATAAAATGTATTTGGACTTTCTTTGACTAGTAAGAGCAATATGTTGAAGTCAAATAATTGAAAGGATAGTGGGATGTTTGATATTATATAGCGACAAAGACTTAATCCGTAACCCAAATTTAGTCAAGGTCCTCTGGGCCCTCTTCTCAAAAGGTCTTGGACTTTGTTCCTCTCTTTCTTCCTCCTGTCTTTGGCTAGCCCATCCTATATTAGCAAGAATCCTGCTAAGTCAGTGCATTGAGAATGCCCAGTTCTTGATACCTGAGCACGTTCTCCATCTCCCACCTTTGAAATATAATTTCTTGGCCTACCTTTAGCTAGAATCCTGTTAGGCCAGTTTAGCAAGAATTACCCCACTATCCCTGATGTCTCTTCTTAGTAATTTTTCATTCACTGACCCCTGACTGTGTTCTCCAGCTATAAATTCCCAGGTGTCTTTGCTGTATTTGGAGTTGAGCCCAGATTTCTCTTTCCTATTGCAATATTGCTATTGTAATAGCCTGGACTAAAGTCTTCCTTAATGTCTTAACAAGTGTCAGAATAATTTTTTTCTTTAACAATAGTTGTCATTCAGTATTTGCCTGGCACTGACTATATGTTTTATACTATTTCACTTAAGGATCATAATAACTTTCTGATGTGGAAATTATTATTATGTTCATTTTACATATGAGGAAACAGGGTAAATATGTTAAAGTACTTTGCCCAACATCATACAGAATAAGATGGCAGAGCCAAAACTTAAACTCAGATTTGCCTAATTCTTAAACCTGTGAACTCTTGGCCAAAAGTTACAAAGTGGAATAAAGGAAAGTAATATTCGTTTTGCATATGCATATGTGTACATTTGTGTATACTAAAATAAAAGTAAAGTTAAATTACACTAAGTGACTCTCTGCTTCTCTGTTTCTTTGTATCTATAACACACTGGCTAGAGGTCTGAATGAAAGCATTTTAAAGTCATTCTACAAGAGTCAGTAAACCAGCACTCTGGTGCCCAGAAATTCCAGTCTTTATAGTACTTTATTCCATAAACTGTGAATAGCTTCTGCCAATAGCTGTTTACAATATTAGCCTTTTCAGCATCTGTAATTTGCTTCTTGAATTAGAGAAATTTTCCCCCCATATATCTATAGATTTGGCCCAACTTTTAGTGACGTTTCTTAAAAATGATGCTGGGTTAAACCCAGCAAAATCAGTTAGTATCACTCTCTTTCAAATCTAAAATCAAATTTTGGTGACTCTGTTTTTCATTCTCAATAGGAAAACTAAATTTGATTTCAATATTGGGATCAAATCTCTCATTCGTCTGTGATTTTAACCATACCCTTGAGTTTATAGATTTGAAATTTGACCTTTCACAACACCATATTTTTCTATTAAATATATGCTTCTGGTTTACTTTTTAAGATACCAGACATCTTTATATTGGTTCTAGAATTAAATTTAGTGAGTGCCTCAGCTCGGACCTTTACTGAAAAGTTTAGCTATAAGAGTTTTCTGCTTATTTTACTTAAACCAAAAGAACTTTTAATAATGTAAACTATGTTCTAGTAGAACTTTTTCTGTTTGCATGACCTCTCAGATTGTGTTCATTAACATGACATAAACATATATTAGCAATTTATATATAATTGTTTTAAGAACATTGACTAACAGCAGAATACCATCAGAGTTGGTTACCTTGTTTTTTACATGATCTCATGAAATTAATCCTAGAAACCCACCTCTATTACCCACAATTTGTTTTCTGAAATTATTCAACTAATAAACAACCAATGTTATTCTTATTAAAGACATATTGGCCAGGCACAGTGGATCACACCTGTAATCTCAGCACTTTGGGAGGCCGAGGTGGGTGGATCACTTGAGGTCAGGAGTTTGAGACCAGCCTGGTCAACATGGTGAAACCTTGTCTCTACTAAAAATACAAAAATTTTCTAGGATTGGTGGCACATGCCTGTAATCCCAGCTACTCAGGAGGCTGAGGCACGAGTTCGCTTGAACTTGGGAGGCAGAGGTTTCAGTGAGTCGAGATTGTGCCACTGTACCCTAGCCTCGGTGACAGAGTGAGACTCTGTCTCAAAAAACAAAACAAAACAGAACAAAAAAGACATATTAACATCTACTAAGATTTATACATGTAAGAATGAATACCAATTTGGAAAAAAAGTGTATTTATTAATATTCTAAATTGAGTCTTCCATCTTTTCCTCTCATCTTCCTTTCTCCTTTTTTCCTTCCCTCCCTATTTTCCTCCTTACTAAATCATGGTCAGTTGAGATATAACAAACTACTCAAAGCTTTTAATTTTGTTTTATATCTCAATAAAAATATATGATTGTTACTCTCTTAGGAAATAAATGAACTTACGTTTCTTTTTTTTTTTTGACTGATACAAAGTATTCTGTATAGTTTTATAATCTTTTTGTCATTGTAATATTTTTTCTTGTGGAGGTGGGAAGTCACATGAACCTCTACTTCTATAATATATATTTATTATAAACTCTGTTGTCAAACCTCCACGGAACTCATTACATGGTGCTATAGTTGTCTAAATAGCTGTCTTTCACTTTAGTTTTTATTCTTGTTACTAAAAATAATCTCTGATACCAGCCGGGCGTCGTGTCTCACGCCTGTAATCCCAGCACTTTGGGAGGCCAAGGCAGGCGGATCACGAGTTCAGGAGATCAAGACCATCCTGGCTAACATGGTGAAACCCTGTCTCTACTAAAAATACAAAAAATTAGCCAGCTGTGGTGGTGGGCGCCTGTGGTTCCAGCTACTTGGGAAGCTGAGGCAGAAGAATCGCTTGAACCCAGGAAGCAGGGCTTGCAGTGAGCCCAGATCATGCCACTGCACTCCAGCCTGGGAGTGCAGAGTGTGACAGAGCATGACTCCATCTCAAAATAATAATAATAATAATAATAATAAATAATAATAATAATAATCTCTGATACCAAATCAATACTAAATTCATTTATATTTATTATTTGCAAAATACCCACCCCCAAATGAGGACAAAAATACTTTCTAAAAAGCATATGAAACCCATCATCAGAGGGACGGGGAATTAAATGAACATACATGTATATAATTATGTCACATAAAAAGGGTGAAATATATCTCTGGTATGTTCTCAAAAGGTAAAGTACATTGCAGGAGTTTAATAGGATTTCATTTTGTTAAAAAGACTCACAAGGCAAACACATAGACACACACGAACACTTCTCACTACATACCACAAATACATAGGTGCACACATGTATGTGTGTATGCATACTCTTAACTGTTTGGTAGTTACTTGTAAGGGTTGTTTCTTTTTTAAATTCTTAATTTATATTTTTATCTCAGTTATACATAGATATGGTTCTAAGTGAAAATTTTATGAAGTTTATAATTATAAACAGTAGCCCTGCACCCCCTGCCAACCTTAGATTCCAGTTTATTCATTGTAATTACTTTTTAAAATGCAATTATTTCTTCCTATACCACATTCGTCTCTGTTTCTTATAGTTCCACCATATTTATAAATAAGTTGCTAACACTTAATTTTTTTCTTGAGTTTTCAGGTTAGTATTATCTAATAATGTTTTACCATGGACCTCTCTGATTAAACTCCATCCCTCCACCTTTTTGTTATAATTACATCATAACTGTGGTTACATCAATATTCAGTGTTTCATTATGATAAACTTGAAAGCTGAGATCTAGGGTAGGAGACCATGAAATTCAGAAAAGAGGATTCTCTTATTTTCCTACTCAAAGATTTGTTCTAATAAAATAGGAAATCTGACATCCTCTTGTCTTCTTTCCTAGCCCAGCCTCCATCTTGGAGAGCCAATATTTCCCAACATTTACTGCCCTTGAGTGGCCCCTTGGTGCACTTCTTCAGCTTAGATGCAAAATGCAGGGTAGAGGAGGCCCCAAGGCACAAAGTGCTCCAGAATACCAAGTTTCTATTCTTTCTCTATTTCAAGTTTCTTTCTGTATTTCTTCCTTCCTCTCCTATTTTTCCCTCTTCGCTCTTCTTTCTACTCCTCCTCTTTATCCTCTTTCTCTCCTCCTAACCCTCCTCGTGCTCACACTTTTCTTTCTCCTACTCTTCTTCTTTCCTGATGTAAGTGTAGCTACAAAGGCTTCAGTGGGATTTCCATTAGCTAGATGTTGGGAGAAAGCTACATAATAAAGGCTTGTTCGTACGAAGTTTGATTAAAATTTTCTCAACATTAGAAGGTACATTTGCATTTTTAAAAAGGATTTATATTAACTGTTGAAGACACTTCATCAGTTAGATTTGTGTTGGCATATCGCACCTAGCAGTAAAACCTAGGTGGGGAAGTGTGGAGGTACATTAGGACAGATAAATACATTAGACAGGATTCTTTTCATTGCAAGTGAAGAAACTCAAACTAGCTTAATGAAATTATAAAAACTTAACAGTTCATGCAAACCTAGCTGGATTTAATCGCTTAACAACATAATGGAGAGTATATCTATCTCAGTGCAAATTGAAACCACAGTAAGATACTATCTCACACCTGTTAAGATGGCTTCTATAAAAACAAACAAAAAACAGAAAATAACAAGTGTTGGCAGGGATGTGGAAAAATGAGAACTCTTGTACACTGGTAGCGGGAATGTAAAATGGTGCAACCACTATGGATAACAGTATAATCGTTCCTCAAAAAATTGAAATTAGAACTACTATATGATCCAGCAACCTCATTATAGGTCCAAAATAATAAGAATCAAAGTCTCAAAGAGATACTTTGCACACTTGTTTTCATAGAAGTATTATTTACAGTAACCTAGCAGTTGAAATAATCCAAATGTCCATTGGCAGATGAATGAATAAACAAAATGTGATATTCAAATATACAATGGAATATTAATCATCCTTAAAAAGAAAGGAAATTCTGACACGTCATAACATGCATGAATCACAAGGACATTATGCTAGCTAAATAAGTTAATCGCAAAAAGGGAAAATACGATATGATCCCACTTACATGAAGTATCTAAAGTAGTCAAATTCATAGAAATAGAAAGTAATGGTGATCCAGGGACTAGGGACAGACAGAAAAGGGGAGTCATTTAATGAGTATAGAATTTTAGTACCCAAGATGAAAAAGTTCTGGAGATCTGTAAATATATGAATATACTTAACACTACTGAACTTTATACTTGAAAATGATTAAGATGGTAAATTTCATGTAATATGGTTTTTTAAACCACAATTAAAATTAAAAAAAAAAAAAACTTCAAAAAGAGCTTGTGTATCTCTTATCAACGTCAGTACCAGAGAGGTCTTTTCTATGGAACTGGATAGGTATTGGCCATCTAAGGTATATGTTCTTTAAAAGTCATTATTGTATATGAAAGGGGTGCATCCTTCTTGATAGCTTATGGAAAAACTCAAAGAGATAAATTAATTGGAGATCCCTGAGAAACATGGACTGGGGATGGGCTGGGGTTGGGGGCAGATACAATCCTAGCAGCAGGTATAATTTCCAGGACCACGTGTAGCAGCATTATGGAATCGAGAGTGTGGTTTTAGCCAAGGACATAAATCTAGTCCTGAAGCCTGTTTTCAAGTACAAATTCTATTCTGACAAGGATTGTGACCAAAGTCTTGGGTCTTCTTAGCTGTGATTGCTTTTGTTTTTGATAGCCTTTTTCCCAATTCTACCTTTCCAAAATGGCAAATTTGCTGATGGTTTTCAGTTCTACCCTCTAATTTCAAGACAATGTAAGTATTTATTTAACAAACTATTCCAAGACTTACTACTTTCAGACACTGGGCTGAGAACTAATAATAAGGGATTTGGTGTTAAAAGTCATAGCCCTGGGATGTGCATTTTATTGCAGTGTAAAAACAAATAAATTAATAGCTATTGTACAATATCATTATATGCTTTGATAGAAATGTGAGGAGAGTTATCAGAGCACATAGGAGGAATGCCTCAAACAGCTGGGGAATGAGGAACTTGAGGAAAATTGGGGAAGATAACTTGGTCAGGCCTATTTGAACTGAAACTTGAGGTAGAAATAAGACTCATGTAAGAAGTTCCAAAGCAGGTAAGATAAAGAAGTTTGAAGGGAAATTTGAAATGAAAGGGTATTTCTGGTAGTGTGTGCAAGGCAATGATGGTTGAGAGAGCAAAGTATATTCAAGTATCTTCAAACCCTTTAATATGCATGACAAATAGAAAGAATGAGGAATCAGAATCAGGAGACAGAACCCAGACCTAAACTTTACTCCAGAAAAAGCAGCATAGACTTTATTCTCAAAGTTTTGAAGATCACTGAAGGCAAGAAACATAAGAAACCCCAAATTATAAATGGTCAGTTTAGGATTTTAGGAGACTAACATATGATCAGTTTTCCATTGTAGAAAAATTAATCTGTAGTTTCATGGAAAGGGCTCTAATACTTTGTGATTACAAAGATTGCTGTTTCTCCATTTTTTTCAGGCCTTTTATCTAGAAATTCCAAAATAACTGATAGATTTATCCTGGTGTGTTAGTTCAATTAATAGTCATTAAGAAATAAGCGGCCGGGCGCGGTGGCTCACGCCTGTAATCCCAGCACTTTGGGAGGCCGAGGCGGGCGGATCACGAGGTCAGGAGATCGAGACCATCCCGGCTAAAACGGTGAAACCCCGTCTCTACTAAAAATACAAAAAATTAGCCGGGCGTAGTGGCGGGCGCCTGTAGTCCCAGCTACTTGGGAGGCTGAGGCAGGAGAATGGCGTGAACCCGGGAGGCGGAGCTTGCAGTGAGCCGAGATCCTGCCACTGCACTCCAGCCTGGGCGACAGAGCGAGACTCCGTCTCAAAAAAAAAAAAAAAAAAGAAATAAGCTAACCACCTCCCCACCTCACACCAAAGAATTCAAATTCTCAAAAATCCTCAGAAGATAAATAGCTTTCTCCTAACTACACTGAATCTCCTTGACTTCTACATAATTAATACAAACAGCAATGTAAACCCAAGTCCAAAGTCAGATTCTCACACTTCATTATACCCAGACTGGTTTCTGGAATATACAAATAAGACCATGGTCACATAGCCTGAAATATGGAGGTTTTAAAAACATGAACCCATTTATAATTTGGTATTCCTCACCATATTTCTGGCTCTCTTAAGTTTTTTCTCTATGTTACACTCTTTGATGTCTTAAATTTACTTAAGGACATGCTTCATACAGTACCGTTTCAAGAATTTATTATTTGAACTCCTTTATTTTTCCAGTGACAACAGCATTCCCTGGTCACTCCCTTGTGAACACACACATTAATACATACTTAAAATCTTAGAATGGAAACCAGGTGGAAATTGTTCAGTAACATTAAATGTTGATAACTTAATAAGCTATATTGAGAGACAGAGGCTTACTCAAACTAAAAGATTATTCCACTGATCCATACAGAGGTCAGACTATTCATGAACCAAAATTCTGGTGAAAAGGTTAAATTGATGCTTTATATTTGATCTTTCAAAAGCCCTTGCTTATTTAAGATGTAGTGGGATTTATATATGAGTTGATAATGCATTCGTTTTCAAACCTTAAATAGGTTACTTATTGAGCATGGTAGATATAATGTGCTTTTCATCAATATACTGTATGACAAATCTGCAGTATTTTACCATTTACTTTAAAATCAGCAAAGCAAGCAAAATACACTTATAATAGGTTATGTAGTCAGCATTGGCCTTCCAAACTGGTCAGAGATTGAATATGTCACTCTAGTAGGGATTAAATAAAATGAACATAAACTCAGGCTCTACATTCAGTATCTGTTGCAAAGTTTCTGAAGTAACCTTGTCAATAGCTTTTATCTGTGATAATTACAAAAAGCCATATATTTATCCACAATTAGTGCAACAATTAAGCAAGTAAGAAACTGAGTTTGAACTTGAAATTTTAATGTGGTACATTCTATTGAAAATTCAGTTCTTAAAATATATAATTAAAAATGAAGCAATATGAAGTAATAATATGAAGTAAGTTGTGGTTTAAAAAACCTATTGCCTTGATAGTTTTGGTTATTTTATTAAATGTAGTTTTATTCTAAGGTGAAAAGTTTGGAGAGTTTGGTTGAAAACATTGTATTTGCTATGAAAACAACCTGAAATTAACTGCCCAGTTAATTCTTCATCAATGAGAACATCAGTTTTTCTATTTTCAGGAGAGAAAACATTTTCAAAAATAGGTAGGCTTTTAATTTATTTTGCTTTTATCATCCAGGAGTTTGCATTTAAAATAGAATAAACTCATTCTGGGAAAAACTATATCTCTGACTATTTCAAATTAATATCTTCTATTTAAATCAATTATTTAATTAAGAGCTATCAATTAAGAAATACTCTACAACATTTCTACTTAATGTTATAACCAATTACATCAGCATTCAGTAAGATATGGATTGCTATTAAAGGGTTAACAAAGGTACATTGATGAATACTGGCTTCATGATTTTTATCTCTACTATGTTACAAATATAAAGAGGAAAAAATAAGTCAAATAACTGTTTTCTCTTCTCAGTTACTTATTTTATTTTACTTTAATTCTCAGTGAATTTCACATACTGTGAAATGTCAAAAGTAACTTTAGATTGTTTCATGTAGTAATGATATAGTTAAGAAGCTCCTTTAAATAAATGTGTCAAGTTTCATTCATCTTAGATCCAGATGATATGAGAAAACTTCACATTCTCATGTGGAATGATGGGTGGAAGAAAAATTACTCATTCCAATTGCACTGATGGTTAACACAGATGAGGGTCAGAATCTCGGATTTTAGCTAAAATAGATTCCTACAATAAAAAAGAGAAGTGGGCATAATAAAAATATTAAAATAAAATACTCCTAATAATCATCAATGATTTCTGTCCTAACCACAAGTTATTATAATGCGTGTACATAATATCAATAATGTTAATGAAATTTTACCAGTTTAAATTTCAAGCAAGAAGTTTGCAATTTAAAAATTGCTACATAAAACAATATTTTTCAAAAGACATCAAATTTCTGTATCCAAAATGAGTTTAGAATTATAGTAAGACTTAATGATGAAAAGTGGACCCCCAAAATCTTAATTTATTCTCTACCTCTCATAAAAAAAGGTTCCCTATATTTTTCTTCTCTAAAATTTGATCTTTAGGAGATTATAGGTAATACACTCAGCTAGAAAGAGCACCATCTCCCAGTGATTTAAAGGACTTTTTTCTACACGGAGCCATGAAAGATAGCGTCTGGTAGAACTTTAATGTCCTGTTATTAGGGAACTACTGATTCATTAGGAATTCTAATGCCGTAATGCATTTGTCTCATGTTTCATTGACCAAACCTACTGTCTTCCTGTCTGCTGCTTCAGGGCCAGTTTAGGCAACAGATGAGACAGCAATGTAGTCGTATGCCAGTAAGGTAGTTTTTAAATTAGAAAAGTGAAGAGACATGCTCTGAATTCATTGCCTTATTTTTTCACATAGAAGGAGCAGTGATGGTAACCCAGAAAAATAAAGGCTGATTTATACATTAACATCTCATTCAAAACATTCACCCCAGACCAATTAGGGGCCTTTCTTCTACCTCCAGGGCCACCTTTGCTCATATCAGTGTGAAACTCTCAAAGGAGATCTGTATCCATTGTCTATCCATCAATCCCTTTCTTTCTCAGGGAGTGAGCCAATGTAAGTAGAAAGTGTTTCCTGGAATATCCTCAAGGATACAAATCATTTAGCAAAGATAATAAGCAATGTATCCACTAAGGATGATGGCATGGCCAAAGAATCGGACCTAAAAGAGATAATTCTATTAGCTTAAAAACTGTAAAAAGAAAAACCCATTTCTCTTTTTCTTATAAGACACATAGAAATGCTGGCTACTTGAAATTTGACAGAGCCATGACCAGTAGGATTACTATACGACTGCTGATTTTTATGCTTTTAAAAATTTATACATCTAACACTTGACATTTAAAATAGCACAAATTTTTTAAATGACCATTTATGAAATATTTCATAGAGTAAACTCAGTTGTTTGCTGAGCTCTTATCAGCTAATGAGGGTAAATTACTAAATTTTCAGGAATTTTGGTTATTTCAAATGACCATTATTAAAAATTAAATTATTTAAGCCTATAATTAGGAGACTATATTAAAATCTAAGGCAATAAATATAACTTATTACTTCCAAACTGTCTTACTGCATTTTACTATGCTCTTTAGTTTATTTTCAACCATAGTATTTGTGATGGTAGAAACACTATGTAATGGTCTGCTACTGTGAATCTCTTCTCAAGTGCTCATTTGATGACTCTACATTAGTGGCTGTAACTGGCCATGCTAGGACTATGTGGATGATGGAAATCAGCAAAGACTATGAATAAGGCTTTTTTTTTTTTTTCTTCTGGAGAGCCAGGTATTAAACATTTACCAGCACACCATGGATTATAAATTCTATGGTGAAGAAACCAACTGACAAGACCTTCTGTGTGGGAAAGAAGGGTAAGGTCAAAGGATTACTAACAATAACAGAGGAAGGTCTGGACTGCTATGGTAGAGTCTCTCAAACTTGAGAAAATAGCACATACATGTGTATAATTTTGTAAACTGAAATGCAAAATACTTTTTATCTACTATTATAGTAGGACTAAAATGAAGGATGGAAATAAGAGAAACAAAAATTCCATGTAGTTTCTCTAAGTATTCCTAAATATTTTAATAAATGTGAGATTATTATAATTTTGATTTATTTGAATTTAAAAATATATTATTCTGTTGGAAATACTGGATGTGCTATAAACCTATTTAAGGCCTGTTTATGGTTATAGTGGTACCGGTTATTTTTTTCCCCAGGTCAGCAGTATTTGGTCTTTTATTTACACTGAGTTATGTAACAGATTTAGATATGAAGCAAGATCAGAAATACGAGACTGTGATAAGGTTTATGATTTTAAAAATAAGAGGTATCTTCAGTTCACAAAGCCGTGTCCTTAACATACTCAATAATACTACTTAATGCAATTAGACATGGCTATAATCCATTATATACTGCTTATACTATTCCTTTATTGGAATGCTACTGGTTTAATAAGTTTTAGTTTAAGTTAACCTAGAGTGGATATACACAGCAAACTTAAAGATGAATTTTAAGTACTTAGAACAAATCTATATATTTTTTCTTTATCCATGGGCATTACAGAAGAATCAGTTTGTTTCATGTGAGAAGGTACATTTTTTTCTAGGGAAGAGATATGGTTTTAATGGACTAAATTTGTTGTTGATGTGAAGTTATTTAGACATAGTGCAGATAATGGAAATATTTATGACCTTCATAAAATGTTGTTCTTCCAAACAATAAAAGCCTTGTTGAATTTTAAAAATATATATGTATTTATTGTTAAAAGTTAAAACCTGACCATTTTTACCTTCTTGTGGGTACTAGAAACATTAACATTCTCTAAGACAGAATTATACATTTTACATAAGAATAGTATCCTGAAAGATAATTATTGTGTTAGAATATTTTGATACTCTGTTTTTATAATTTGATACTAGGATATATATATTTCATTACTTACTAAGTATATCTATTCCTAAGATTTTAATAATTCTGAAATGGTTCTGGTTTTCTATTAGGGAAAAACCTGGTCAATCGACCTCTAATAGAAAAAATGTCATCTCTAAGAGAGCATATATAAAATGCCTTCCTTTCCTGTAAAAAATACCATTCCATATGTTTAATGTTTTTACATTCTTCAATTAGAATAGAACGAAATTTTTCACTTCTAAAAAAAAAAATATTTCCTATGACCAAATATCCTCCTTACTGAATGTGAACCTTTAATTTGAAACTTTAAAAAATCTATTTTATTACATGCAAGAAGTTGAGTTTCATGCCTAAAATGATGCTCACATTACCAGAGCATTTTTAATTTAAACTGATGATCCTATGCTGTAGAGAAAGTACTATAAATTTTTAATTATGAATACGAATCCATGTAACCTGTTTGTACAGAAAAGAGCTAATGCTTCTTTTGTTATTGTTTTTAACTAGCAAGAAGAAATGGAATAAATCATGTGACTGCTTCACAAATAGATTATTTGCATTTTTGGCTTGTAAAAATAAGAGTCATATACCATTTTGTTTTTATGAACTAACTTTGTATATATAGATTTAAGTATAAATTGCTGAGAACAAAATAATCAACTTCATAGTACATCATATTAAATCACTGTATCTTGTAGAAATAGTATACAATCATGCTTAGTATTTAATTCCTTCAGGATAATTATTTAAATCACTTATAAAACCTGTTCTTATGTATAGAACAAACTTTTGATGTTAAGCCACAATCTAGTAGTTATAAGATGGTACTGTGCAAATTGGCCAAAAGGTTTCCCTTTCTCCTGACAAATAAAAGAATGGAGGAAATAAAGAAAATAAATCACAATTAAAATGGAATGAACAAAAAACATCTTAACAGAAGTTTTAGTATAAAAATGCTTTTTTTCAACTTATAATTAGGACCTATGTTACATTTCTATTCATCATGCATATTATTTTGGCGTTAATATATATTAGGACCACTAATGCCTGATAACAAACGCTGTAGTTTACTCTGGCTTCAAAACACACCTCAGCAATTTTCTGAGAAACAGAGAAGTATGCACACCCCTCTGGGAAAAAAAAAAAAGCCAAGGGAATATTAGTTGTAGATTAAAAGGATGATGGTAGACCATCTTTACTGAATATTTTGGATGGTACTAGTTGCTAATATTTAGAATAAATAGCATATGAGATATATTAAAACTGCAGTAGGCGTGTAAAAAGACAATACAATTTTTGTTTGAAAATGTCTTTAAATGATCTGGTTTTTTTTTCCAGTTTAAAACTAGGAAGTTTTTATGCATTCTTGTGTTTTTCTATAAAGGATCCTGTGGAGATCATCAAAATGCCATTGTACTTAAATCTAGTCTTCTTATTCAGTCATACTATGTCCATTGTTGCCGTTAATATTTTTCCTTATTAATGACTTGGAATTCAGACTCACACTATTCTGTTACCATTGGACAGGTGAGGCAAAAGAACAGAATTCTATTTGTAAATGCATCTAATGTAATCTGAAATTATTATAAAGAAAGTAAAGAAAAAGCACATGACATTCTTATACAGAAATATTAATGTAGTGAAATATATTTACTTTGTTACCTAAGATGTGACAGTAGTCCCTAATCTATAAGAATAATCTCCTCTGCTGTAGCAGCAAATAAAAAGAAAGATGCATATTATAGATTTTTTGATTATCAGGATATCACTCTGCTATAATATATCATGCTTCATTGTGACACATTCCCCCATTTGTCACTTTCTGTCATGTTACTGTATCTCAAAAGACACAACATTGCCCAACCATTTTTTTAGTGTAGCAAATGGATCCCAAATATTTGACATTGAAAGCAGAACACTTTAAAAAACCAGGTAGTTTTAGACAAAAGCTATTTAAATGAGTATTTCAAAAAGTGGATACCAGAGAAAGTGGTTATTTAAATGTATATTTGTAAAGCTCAAAAATCTAGTAAAAACAAATATTTCCTTTACTTGTAAGCACTTTATTCTTAAACTGTGAAAGCTCTTTTCCTTCCCATTTGATGGTACTCTTAGAAAAGGATTAAATTTCTATTTTTGTTTCCTGCCAAAAAAGCAGGTTTAATTTTTATCAGTATTATAATACTGAAGTAGTCAAACTGCTTTCTTCAGCTTTTATATTCAAGCATTTCAAGTTAATGTTTTAAAATTGTCCTTTGAAGAAATACACAAACATATGCACACGTGTTAAATACTTAGGACTCCATGTTAGATTTCAGGCAATAGAAGGCACAAGAAATACAAAGCCATCAGCCATCTTGCTGACACTGCTACTGAGGGTTGGTGCTATCAGGAACAGTAAGCGTCTGACAACATTCCAGACACATCTAGATAGAATAAAATGGAAATGCTTACCTAAAAAGAAATAAATTGTCATTCATCTACTTTCTCATATAACCCTGTCCCATGAATCTTTTTGTACAGATGAAGAGGATCCCCTAGAATCAATGGGTGTCTCAAACTAATTTGAAAAAATATTTTGAACTTAACCACATAATTCAGTCTGTTGGTAATTTTTGAAACTATTTGAGTCAGGACCAAGGAGAGCTCCCAGATTTTGTTCTCTCAGATAAGCCTTGCACTAACAGTGGTGAGAGCTCACATAAAGCCCTATGTTAAGGGCATTGCATAGATTATTTTATTATTTAAACCTCACAGCATTATTGTGAGGTAGCCATCATGATTTTTTTGTAGATGGGTACTTAGGCTCAGAGGGTTATCAGGGGTTGATTTTATAGCTTCTGCTTTGGAGCTCGCTCATCCCTGAGAAACACCACCGTATAACTTGCTATTTGTATTGTTTTTTATAAATAACATGATATTTATGTTAAATATGTTAACATGTCATGTTTACATTATGTTAATATAACAAATATTTACGTTAAATAACAAAGTGTTAACTTTTCAATACTATTTCCTATCAATTTGGGATAGAACATTTTTTCATTTTTCACTTATGATGTGGCTAATATGTATTGTATGTAAGATATTTTGGTGAGTTTGTCAGAAAGAAAATTTTGTTTTGCCTGTGACCCGTTAATATTTGCAATATCCAGCTCCATTAAAAGTCATTCCCCTGTTTGAGACCTTCAGTCCCTCCCCATTGCACATAAAGTAGGTTCAAACACCGGCAGGATCTGGCCTAACCTACCTTCCCAACTGAATCTACCACTCCTCATTTCTATTAATCTAATACTAGGCTTTTGCCCTTCAATTGTAAAAGCATGAAATATTTTTGTCTCACTGTCCTTGTTTAGGTGGTTACTCTCAGCTGGGAAAGACTGCTTTCCCATCTTCAGCTGTAGAAAATCATCCTCAAGCTCAAACTTTGCCTACTTCCAAAACCTTTTTCTACTTCTACCATCAGAATTTATCTTTCCCTCCATTACTCTCCAATAATGATAGAAGTTTTACTGCCATCCCAAGACCTATGTTCTAGGCTTGTTGCTTAAATGCATTATTGCTACAAAATATGCAGATAAACTTCTATTGAACATCTGTGTCCATAGTCTTTTTGCTTCAATTAAATCATAAATCATGCATTGTCTATTGCTTATTTCTATGTCTGTCATTTCTTTGTTATATTATAAATTCCTTGATGTCTTCCATCTGATTCATCTTTTTATTCCTCCATGAAACCTAGCCTAATTCCTCACATTGAATTAAATGGAAGCAGATATTTAAAGCCAACATAAAATGTTTTGAAATAGTTCTTATGTTTTAATTAAAATCTCATTAAGTCTTAAGGTAACCACATGTTAATGGTTACAAAAATCAGAGAAATTATTTCTCTCTCATATTTCAACTTTCTGCCTCTTATGTGGATCTTTTATTTATATATTCTTTGTATAATGCTCATTTAACTTTAAAACACACTGAAAACCCTCTATATCCCAACACACTCCTGTCCTTCTCTGAGAAACACTTACACACTCCATTGATTTGAATCAGGTCTAGATGTTTTACTCCAAGAGTTATAATCAGCTATGAGACTCATTTACCTTTTGTAAGTGGGATTTTTTGAGGTTGATACGTGGTTTTTTTTTTTGATATATGTATCCTGTCTTCTTTTTAATGTATTCATTTTTACATATTTTTCTTATTTTTATTTACAAAAGAACACATAAATGAATTCTAATTAGTAATGTTCTTGATTCTTCTTTCTCAAACATTATTTTCATTGCTACTCCCTTCAATTTCATATGGTCATTCAGTCCATTTTTTCTGCTTATAAATGTATTTCTATGTACTTATAAAGGTAAAATTTTGATTTTTTGTGTTTAATTTTGTATGTTAAAATACATTGTGTATATATTTTGGAGTGTGCTGTGTTTTTCTGACTTAAAAGACACATGAGCAAACATATATTCTCTTCAACTTTTTACCTGTTGCATAGTTTTCCAGACTAATGCTGTATCATATGACATTTAAGAATTCATTGCCTATAGATGAATGTTTATATGTATTTTTAATTATAAAAATGGATCAATATTCTTGTACATGGCTTTTTGTGCACAAGTACTTCTCTAAAATAGATATCTAAACACAGAATTTGGGGATAAATAGATATATTTTAAATTTTAATAGATATTACCAAATTAGCCCCTGAAAGACCTGCATATATTTTTATTCCCACTGAGAGTAAATAAGATGATGCATTTTCTGTGCATCTTTTTCATCACTGGCTATTATCAGTGTTTTTAGGTTTTGATATTCTATTTGACCACTATTTAATTTCAGGATATTCATTTACACTTTCCTGAGTACTAGTGAGGGTGAAGATAATTTTATATGTTTGTCATCACTTTTATTCATTTTTTATGAATTTACTGTTTACATAATTTTAGATATTTCTATAATGTTTTAATTGTAGGAGGTATTTCTATATTTTGGAAATTAATTTTTTATTATATACCTTAAAGTATTTCTCAGATGCTTGTCTTTTTATTATATCTGCATTGCCATTGGTATGTTGGATAACTGGGTTTATTGACATATTTATGGCATCTTGATTCTTTGTTTTGCCTTCAAAAGCCTCCCTTTCCCAAGAATGTAAGCTTATGCTAATATATTTTGTTCTAATAATACTGTACTTTCATCATCTTATATGTAGCTCTTTAATGTATATCAAAATTTGTGTGGATATGGATTAAGCATGCAACTTCACTTTTTTCAAATGCCTCTTAATTTTTAAAAAATTAAGCCAAGTGGATAAATTAGACCTATTAAAACTATAAAAATGAAGTCATTGAGCACAATCACAACACGCTTTTGCAAGCAAAATGCAACTCTTGGGCCAATAAAATATAACTGTCCCCTGTTGATAGCTTGCTATTTTTACAATAGTTACTAAGATAGCTTGAACTCCAAATCTTTCTTCTCCAGGGTAAATCTTTTTTCCTTAAGTACATCTTTTGGGAGGTCATCTAAAGAAATGTGGACAAATATAAAGTCCAAAAGGAGACTGGGTCCCTGTCATGCTCACACATCTGGTATACTCAGAAACAGGAGTCAATTCTAGGAATATCGCCTTCTGCAAAACAGAAGTTACAGGGGCTTCTCAGGTTGAGGAGATAATGGTAGGTGCTGGTAGGGACAGGAACAGCATAGATGATAAGCTTCTATACCAAGAACAAAGAGAGTGGGATATAAGGTGTCAAAGAGGTCCAAGAAGTAAGCAGAACAGAGATGTGCTTGACTCCAGTCAAATATACAAAACACTTAAGTAAAGATTTCATCACAGACCTTCTCTACCTGTAATTATTCCTTAGGCACTGTTTCTAACCACCAGTTCATGTTGGAAGTACGCATTTTCTATGTATAGAGGAAATGCAAACAGTGGCTTCTGACATTAATTCAAGGAGTTATTTCTAGACCTTGCAATTTCTACAAGAAGATGAAAAAGAAAATCTAGACTGGAAGCTTGTATACCTTTTTGTCTTGGTAAGCAAAACACATAAGCAGGGGACGGGAAAGGTAATTAATATAATGCTTATTATATGCTAATTGTTTTCTTCTTTTGAAAAAATTTTGACAATAACTTTTTCATGTAGGTGCTATTATCCTTCTTTTAGAGATGAGAAAACAGGTTCAGAATGGCCACAGAGTGATAGAGTCAGGATTCTGGAACCTGCAGTAGGCATGTAAAAAGACAATACAATTTTTGTTTGAAAGTGTCTGGTTTGGATTACTCTGCCCTACCAACTGTGGAAGGGAAGTGGACACAAAGCAACCTCCATTCTCTACCATCTCCACCAGGATTTCCCTCTAGCTGCCTTTATCCAAATGGCAGCCACCCAAATCACCCATTTTGCTGATTTCACATATTACACTTTTAAAAAGACATTGCTCTATTCACAATAGCAAAGACTTGGAACCAACCCAAATGCCCATCAGTGATACACTGGATAAAGAAAATGTGGCACATATACACCATGGAATACTATGCAACCATTAAAAAGGATGAGTTCATGTCCTTTGCAGGGATATGGATGAAGCTGGAAATCATCATTCTCAGCAAACTAACACAGGAACAGAAAACCAAACCCTGCAACTTCTCACTCATAAGTGGGAGTTGAACAATGAGAACACATGGACACAGGGAAGGGAACATCACCCACCAGGGCCTGTCGGGGGTGGGGGGCTAGGGAAGGGATAGCATTGGGAGAAATGTCTAATGTAGATGATGGGTTGATGGGTGCAGCAGACTGCCATGGCAAATGTATACCTGTGTGACAAACCTGCATGTTCTGCACATGTATCCCAGAATTTAAAGTATAATAATAATAATAAAGATTTAAAAAAGAGACATTGCTCAGTAAAGAAGTGTTTGTACCCCTCAGTTCATGTTTTACATTGGATATTACACTGATTCACAAACCAGAATTCTTGTGTGGCAGCCTTCCTTAACAAAACCAACTCATTCTAAGAAGATAAGTTTGTTTCACTTCAAACACTAGTGTTAAAATGACTTAGCAGATGGGAAAATGGGGAAAAAATTAACGCCTTTATGCCAGAGGTTGCAATTTTTTGAATTTTTGCGATCAGACCTTGGTGAAGACCTTAAGCAGTAGGATATAAATAACTCTTACATGCTTAGTCTTCCAATAATGGAACACTAGACATAAATATCTAAAATGATTTTCCCAGCACCACCAAGATTAGAATTCCCCTTCCAGTTAAAAAACCAATATTCAGAAATCATTCACCTGCAGAGGCACCACATCTACTTATAGCAGTTTGCTTTCCATGGATTTGCAATAGGAAAACAAAATCTCTCGGGTTCTTGGAAAACCCTATATAATATTTTATAGAAGCAAAATGTCAGTGCCCATTAGCTCAAGCAATAAAACTCCCTCTCATAGAAACTGGCTGTGTTTTTAAGCACGATTCATCATCATAAAGCATTGAGAGTCACTTTGGTCATTTTTTTTCAGGCAGAGAACAGGTCAGTGTTGTTTTTTGTTGTCCTAGGAGTCACTCATCAAACTTTCATAGAATCACAAACCATTTTATTTATATTCAGAGGGCTTACTGTTGTAGGTATTCATATGCTGCAAATAAAACCCAATGGAAGTACATTTGGAAACTGAGTTTTAGGGAATACCTGGCTTAATTTTTAAAGAAAAGAAAAGCATCATCATTCTTTCCATTCTTTTTATTCATATGTGTATTTTGTTTGGACTTCAGGTGCAAAGGGTAGAATTGATCACAATTATCTATGGTTCATAATTGACATTGATTCATTCAAAGCTTTATCTTGCTTCATTCATTTATTTACTCCTTTTACCCCTATTTCCCATTCCCATTCCCTTTCATGGGCAAACATTCAAATATATTTTCATTTGTAAACTTTCGTTTGTGTGTGTATTATTCACTGTGTGGGTTTTATTTCACTATTTTAAAGTTATATATTTATATTTGCTCTTATGGCATGTCTTAGTTCAGGCTGTTAAAATACAATCAATACCACAGACTAGGTGGCATATACACCAAAAATTTATTCTCGAAGTTCTGGAGGCTGGGAAGTCTAAGATCAAGGTACAAGCAGATCTGGTGTCTGGTGAGGACCTGTTTTCTGGTTTTCAGATAGCTGTCTTCTTGTATCCTCACATTGCATTGTGCAGAAAGAGAGAAAAAAGCAAGTTCTCTGGTGTCTCTTTTTTATAAGGCTCTACCCTTATGACCTAATCACCTCCCAAAGACCTCACCTACAAATATCATCACCTTGGGGATTAGACTTTCAGTATATGAATTTGGGAGAACACAAACGTTCTGTCCATAGCATGGTAGTTTCCCCAACTTGGAACTTAAAGTCATGTTATTAATACATTGTTACAAGGTATTTGATTATCCTTACTCTCTGTATCTTTGGAAGTACCCTCGTGAGTTTTTTTTTTCTTGAAGCCTATATCACATTAGTGTTTTTGATATTAGACTTTCAGTTAATGTTAAATCTATGAGGCCTTTCTTATTTTTTACCAAAGAAAATCTTTTCTGAACCTTTGGCTGTATATAAAATTCTAAGTTCAAAGTTTATTTTCCATTAATACTTTAAAAATATGATATCTTGTTCTTTTTGTATCCAGTGTTGCTTTAATAAATTTGACAGCATTCTGATTATTATTCCTGTGTAGGCAATCTACTTTTTCTCTGTAGAAACTTTTATAATTATTCATTTTTCTTTGATATTCTCAATATAGAATGTGTCCATATGTGTATTTGCTTCCTTACCACTCCTGTAGCAATCTATGAGCCCATTGTATTTAAGATCATCCATCTAGTATTATTGTGAAATAAATAGTTTTGATAATTTTTCAAATATCCTCTGATTACTCCTATTCTCTTACCTGTTTTCCTTTATGTTTCTATATTTTTACCCCTTCTTCCTACGTTCTGACGGAGTTCTCTAATCTGGTCTTAGGACTCAAAAATTTGTTTTACATTCTTTATTTTTTAATCCCTATTACCCTGTTCATTAAATTTTTTTTTTGTTTTTATGATGTCTTGGTTTTACCTTATATTACTCATGTTTCCTAATTTTCTTAGATATATTTTATGCTTCTTTTACATTATTTTTTGTATTGAGTTAATTTTTTTGAAAAAATTGTAAGAACACCTAATATGCAACCTACCCTCTTAACAGCTTAAAAAGTATACAATGCAGTATTATCATTTGTAGGCACAATATTGTATAGCAGACCTCTAGAACCTATTCATCTTTTTTAACTGAAATTTTATATCGCTTGATTAGGGCTCCCCATTTCTCTCTCTTTCCAGCTCCTGGCAACCACCATTCTATTATTTGCTTCTGTGAATTTGAATATTTAAGATATATAAGTGGTATCATGCAATATTTGTCATTCTGTGATTGATTTATTTCACTTATTTTAATGTCCTCAAGGTTCATCTATGTTGTCACACATTGCAGGATTTACTTTTTTTAAGGTTGAATAACATTTCATTGAACATATATACTATATATTGTTTATCCACTCATCTGCCAATGGATATTTTGGTTGTTTCTACCTCTTAGATATTGTGAATAGTGCTGCCAGGAACATGGATACACAAGTAGCTCCTTGAGATCCTGCTTTCAATTCTTTTGAACAGATACCCAGAAGTGGCATTGCTGGTAATAGCAAACCATCTGAAAAGGAAATTAGAAAAACAATCCCATTTACTGTAACATCAAAAGAATAAAATACTTAGGAATAAATGTAACTAAGGAAGTGAAAAACTTGTACACTGAAAATTTAAAAAGCATTGATTAAAGAAATTAAAAAGGGCACAACATATGAAAACATATCTCATGTTCATGGGTTGGAAGACTTAATATTGTTAAAATGTCCATACCACACA
This sequence comes from Homo sapiens, assembly GCF_000001405.40. Lineage (NCBI taxonomy): Eukaryota > Metazoa > Chordata > Mammalia > Primates > Hominidae > Homo > Homo sapiens. Next base: position 98,210,936 of record NC_000006.12, read on the forward strand.
ATGTGGTATACAAATTCAATGAAATCCCTATCAAAATCCCAATGGCATTTTTATACACATAAAAAATTCTAAAACATATATGGAACCACTAAATACTCCAAATAGTCAAAATAATCTGGAAAAAGAAGAACAAATCTGGAAGCATTACACTTCCTTATTTCAAAATATATTAAAGAGTTACAATAATTTAAAACATATGACACTAGCATACATAAATAGAACAGTGGAATAGAATAAAGAGCCCAGAAATAAATACAAAAATATACAGTCAACTGATCTTCAACAAAGTTGTCAAGAATCCATAATGTGGAAAAAATAGGCTCTTCAACAAATGAGGTTGAGAAAACTGGATGTCCATATGCAAAGGAATGAAACTGTGCTCTTGTCTCACACCATACACAAAAATTGACCCAAAACAGATTAAAGATTTCGATGTAAGACCTGAAACTGTAAAACTTGAAGAAAACAGGAGAAAAGCTTTATGGCGTCAACCTTATTTTGATTTTATGGATATAACACTAAAAACCACAGGTAGCAAAAGCAAAAACAGACAAGTGGAACTATATCAAACAAAAAAAAAAGCTTCACAAAGGAAACAATGGATAGAATGAAAAGACAACCTACAGAATTGGGGAAAACATTTGCAAACCATGTATCTGATAAACGGTTAATTTCCAAAATGTATAAGGAATTAGTGCAACTCAATAGCTCGAAAACGAATAACCCGATTAGAAAGTAGGCTAAGGACTTGAATAGACATTTATTCAAAGAAGACACAAATGGCCAGCAGGTATATGAAAAGATGCTAAGCATCACTAATCATCAGGGAAATGCAAATCAAAACTACAATGAGATATTAGCGCACACCTGTTAGGATGTTTATAATTTTTAAAAAAGACAACACGTGTTGGCAAGGATATGAAGAAATTGGAACCCTTGTACACTGTTTAGTAGTGATGCAAAATGATGCAGCTACTATGGAAAACAGTCTGGAAATTCCTAAAAAAAATTAAAGATGCTTCTTTTTTACAGTTTCGGTCTACCTGTTTTAATAATTCTGCCGCACATGCTATATATCTTTTGTTGTCTTGTTTTATTTTTGAGGTGTCTGAGCTGGTCAGTTTTGTAGCTATTTTGGTCTATGAGTTCCTGTTCCAGAGAGTGTTTTGAGGAAGGGCCAAGGACTTAGTGCAATTTCTACTTAAATTTTAGGAGAGAGGATGAGTCCAGGGACCAGAACCCAATATACCACAAAGTATTTGTTGATAACTGCACTTTGTTGCCTGGTCACCAGCAAATGCCACTAATGAAGGGTGACTTTAAGCTGTTACGAAGTAGCAGCATTAGGAGGAGTATATTCACCTAGACTGCCGCTTTGTAGATATGAGTCTTTAGAATAGAGGACTGGATGGCTAAAGACCTTTGGTTATGCCACACTGCCCTTTCCTAGTCTTCACCTCTGGAGGGCTTTTGTGCTTTACTAATATTACCCACCCCCCTCTTTATCCCTGTAATTAGTATATGTTAAAAATAATCTACATAAAAAGCAAAATAAGGACATACCTTGTGAATCCCCAAACTGGGTGTAAAAGCCTGTAAACCTTACTTTACATCTTAATTTAAACAATAAATTGTTTTTAAAAACTGTAACTTATGAGGCAATTTGAAATTGGAACACACTATATATTAAAATCTTAAGGAATTATTGTTAATTTTAGGTATAAGAATGACATCATAGTTATGTTAAATAAAAAGTCCACAATGTTTAAATATACTTATTTAAGATATTCACCAATCTTTGTCATTTAAAGATTAAATAATATGAGTTTTTAAAAATAATATAGGAGGAGACAGAAGTTGCAGTATAGACAAAATGACATTGGTCACGAGTTGAAAATTGCTAAAAGCTAGAAAAGGGTACACGAAGGTTCATTTTACTCCTCTGTCTAGTTTTGTTTACATGTGAGTTTTTCATAATAAAAAGTTACAAAAACTAGATGTAGAAAATTTACCCTGATATTTTCTTCTATCCACATAGTTTATTACTGATGTTAAGAACGAAAAAATAGGGCCGGGCGCGGTGGCTCACGCCTGTAATCCCAGCACTTTAGGAGGCCGAGGCGGGCGGATCACGAGGTCAGGAGATCGAGACCATCCTGGCTAACACGGTGAAACCCCGTCTCTACTAAAACTACAAAAAATTAGCCGCGCGTGGTGGCGCATGCCTGTAATCCCAGCTACTCCGGAGGCTGAGGTGAGAGAATGGCGTGAACCCGGGAGGTGGAGCTTGGAGTGAGCCGAGATGGTGCCACTGCACTCCAGCCTGGGTGACAGGGCAAGACTCTGTCTCAAAAATAAATAAATACGTAAAAAATAAAAAAATAAAAAATATTTATAAGTAAATATTTACAAGAATAAATCATTAAGATTATTTCAAGATACACCCTTTCTAATTCTAATTTTTTTTTTAATTTTTTATTGCTTCAACAAGGATTTATAGAAATCCATCTCTGTTTCTAGCATTGACGCTAAGATTACACATTTATACTCATTCAAACAACAAACATCAATGAGTAGCTTGCTATACTTATGTCATAGTGAAATATAAAATAGGAACACAAGTATTCTTGAGGATATGCTATTTATTTCCTTTTTTTCCTTTTTATTATCTGAGTTTTGGAAATGTCAAATATATTTTATGTTATTCAGAGAAGTGGTAAACACACTTATTGTATAAAAAGCCAGATAGTGGGCCAGGCGTGGTGGCTCATGGATGTAATCTCAGCACTTTGGGAGGCCAAGGCAGGTGGATCACCTGAGGTCAGGAGTTCGAGACAAGCCTGGACAACATTGTGAAACCCGTCTCTACTAAAAATACAAAAAATTAGCTGGGCATGGTGGTGGGCGCCTGTAATCCCAGTTACTCGGGAGGCTGAGGCAGGAGAATTGCTTGAACTCGGGAGGCGGAGCTAGCAGTGAGCCGAGATCGCGCCATTGCACTCCACCTTGAGCAACAAGAGAGAGACTCTGTGTCAAAAAAAAAAAAAAAAAAAAAAAAAAAGAGTCCAGATGGTAAATAAAGGCAGCTTTGTGGGTCATATTGTCTCTGTTGCTGCTATTAGGCTCTGTTGTTGTAGGGTGAACTCAGCCATAGGTAATACACAAATTGGTTTGGCTATTTGGCTATGTGCCGATAAAACTTTATTTAGAACAACACTCTGTGTCCCAGATTTGGCCTGCAGGCTATCATTTGCTTATACCTGATTTAGAGGCATCTTTATGTGTTAAACTACATTGCTGAGATAGAGAAAATTTGGATAAAGAGAAGTACTTGATTAAATAGCTGAGATTCAGTTCCCTAGGAAAATAAGGAGATACACTATATTATGCAATATCATATACATTTGAAATGTTATATGTATCATATGCTAAAGTAAGTCCATGCATCTATCCCCAAATGAATAAGTAAACTAATACTAAACTAAGAACTTCCACAATAACAGCTATTTTGCTCTGCCCCAAAATTCCCCCATAAACATAGCACTGGACAATTTTAAACAGAATTTTCATGTGGTTTCTAAGTTTTTAATGATGAATTTTTCTATCTACATATTACTGTCTAGGAAAACAAAAATATAGTTTATTTATCTAAAAGGGTACTATATTTCCAGGATTGCTTACCTTGGACACAGCAGGGTCTAGTCCATTATGTGTACAGCATTTCATTATACTTGCAAAATTGTAACTATGGAAAGACAATATGATATTATTTTAGTGTTGATATTAATAGAATTGTTCATAATGCAGTTGTTATTAATGATTCAATGTTATAAAAAGAATCCTTAATTATTAATGGCATTGATATGACATTATTAATTTTGATACTAAAAAGAACATTTCATTATTCCAGATGCAATTATATTGTTAGACACAAGTTATTGCTAATAGATTATACTTTCTGCAGTCTTGTTTTGGCACATGGTAATTAGCTGTAGGTTTATATAGCTGAATAAAAAACTGACATTGGGATTTTATTTCAGGGTAGTAGAGGTTCAGAGCAGTAACTCAGCGGAATAGGGCCAGGTCAGAAAAATTGTTGGCCAAACTTTTTTCAGCCCATGTCTGTCTGCTCAGGATGATGTCTCAGTCCTATACTTGAAGGGAGAGCACAGCTGACAGTACTAGTATGTAAAGATTTGGCTGGTGAAGGGGCTTCTTTCAGGTCATATTTTCTACACAGTAAATCAACACAGAAGTCTCTCTTCTGTTCAGCATTGGTTATTAAGATGTGATATTATCTTGTGATTTATATCATGTTGTCACAATGCATTTCATTTTGCTTTGTTTCAGTAATACAATGAATTCTTTCATAATTTCTTTCAATTTGCCTCAGGAGTTGTTATATACTCCAGGCTTTTATTTCTTTATATTTTCTTCAGCTTTATTAATACAAGTGAAGAAAGTATATCCCTCCATAATTGCTTATAGCCTGTACAATGCAATACAGCATATTACCTCATTTTAGATAATACTTTTGTAGTGGCATGATATTCTAACACTTAAAAGCTGTGTGTAGAAGCAAATAGCTTTGCAAATTACTTTATAATCTTGGTCAACTTCAACTGGTTATTCCCACAAAACACTTTAGTCTTTGTCCTTTAACAACTACCCTGCACTTTAAAAATCCTCAGGCACAACTTGAAGGGCAGTTGAGCAGAAACATTAATAGAAGTGCTGAAATATTCTCAGGCCAATCCTAGAGCAGGATTTCCAAAGGCCTCTCACACTCTCTTCATGCCTCCATCCCCTCTTGACCTCAGCACATAGAAACACACTTGCTTGGAGCTGTTACACCTGTCATGCTCTGGTGCCTGGAGTTAAAGAAATAAGGTGCTGGTCTGATACTGACACAAGGCAGGTTGAATTTGTGTTTATATGCTTAGAAAACTACTTCTTTTAAGTAGTTGGTGACTTCTTGCCTTTTTTATATCTGTTGGTAATCAGAAACTTATCATGAGAGGAAATTGCAGTGGGTAAGAAACTGTAGTAGAGTCCCGTGTAAGTAAACTTTGAAGTACTTTGCATATTTTTTTCTCAAGATAAAAATATTACTATACAAGTTAATGATTTATTCTCAAGATAAAAATATTACTATTGAATTTAATGATTTTTAAACTTTCCTAAAAGTTAGGATAAAAGAACAATGAGGTCAGGCATGGTGGCTCACGCCTGTAATCCCAGCACTTTGGGAGACCGAGCCTGGCGGATCACCTGAGGTCATGAGTTCGAGACCAGCCTGGCCAAAATGGTGAAACCCCATCTCTACTAAAAATACAGAAAACTTAGCTGACCATAGTGGTGGGCGCCTGTAATACCAGCTACTCGGGAGACTGAGGCAAGAGAATTGCTTGAACCTAGGAGGAAGAGGTTGCAGTGAGCCCAGATCGCACCATTGCACTCTAGCCTCGGCAACAAGAACAAAAACTCTGTCAAAAAAAAAAAAAGAAAAGAAAGAAAGAAAAAGAAGAAAAGCATTACCTTATCTTCCTCATAAAATAGTTATAACATTTGTAATACACTTCCAAATAGTAAAACATAAAGAGTCTAAAATAATGTTTAAGCCATACTATAGGGGCAAGTAGTTGTCTGATCAGGAAATCTCCCACCAAGGGTGGCCACTTAGCATTCAATACAAAAAAGCACTATCCAAAGGTAGCTATTAAAAGTTCTTTAGTTATCTTTATCTTTCATCAAAACCAGATGCTTTGCTCATTTTTGTAGTGCCTAAGGTAGAAATAGGCTTTAACCGCTAATATTGGTGACTTGTTAATTAGAATAAAGGATATCCTAAATGGCATTGCCGAAATCAGTATATTCAATATAGATGCATTTGCTGGAGTATTGTAGACAATTCTCTATCCTCACATCGTGAAATAAAAAAGTCCATGGATCCTGGCCTTTGTCCTTGGGAATAGAATTGTGGACTTCTCAAGTTTTCCAGATGATATTTGGTCATGTGACTCAGAGAGTTAGCTAAATTTGGCTACTACAATAGTATTGCATTTGCCTTAGGTAAATTTTTTCTGCAAGGGTTTTTCAGAGTTTCAGAGAGAACAGAACATCAAACTTGTGGAACTATTTTATGAATTCTTATTAATGAATATTCTAGTAGCAAGTTGTGGGGAACAGTTAACCTCTACCTATCTTAAATTTCCTGTGGATTTCAACATATATTAAAAAGAACCTAATAAGTTTGTATAACCAAATTATCTTAGGTCAGTTCATAATAAGAGTCAAAGTGGAAAAATAAAATTCAAAATAATCTAGAATTCATTGTATTTAGGATAAGCAGTTTGTTAAATCTTCATCTTTTCCACTTATTTTTTGGGTGAAATGAGTCTATTCTAGAACTATGATTTAGATTTAGATTTAGAATAACTCCACAGATCCCTTCTTTTAGCTGACATTTTTCTCAGCTACAGTCAATTTTGTTTCACTTTCCATCTTTTTGGTATGCTCTTGGCCACAGCTATGCTAATGGATCCAACTGGTTGAAAGTCAGGGGTCTTGTAATTTGTGTCCTCCTAAGGGCAAAGGAGAAAGTCTGCTTTATTATAACAAAAAGCCAAAGTTATCTAATAAGCAGCATTATGCTTGGGAAGTTGTAATTATGATTATAGAATTATTCAATTTAGGTTCCTACATCTGTGTTTCCTATATCAAATAATCAAAATATGCATTCTTATTTTACATTACTATTGCATTGTATTTCCCAAGTGATTTACATTTATAAATTAGCTTCTGCATGTGAGAGTTTGATGTGAAATGAGGGTAGTGATGGTCTTCCCTTACTTTCATGGGGAGGTTATTAAAAGGTTAAAACATGATATGCTGTTATATTATCAGTTTTTTTCTGATTGATTATTCACCTAGATTTCCACTTGCAAATTTCATTCACTACTAAACTAGATAAAATGGTTTGAGGATTACATAACACCAGTGCAACTACAAACAAGTAATTACAAAAATGAAATCATTTATTTTATTGTGAATCAATCTCTCAACTTGGTAAGCAGTTTGTATATTCCCAATGACCAGCATCATTTTTACTGGAAAACGAAAGGGTAACTTGCCCAGAGCCACTTTGGGTCTAAGCCAGAATTGAAAATTGTAGCACTTTCTATAAAAAAGGAGGAAAAAGTATAAAAGCTCAATAGAAAATGGACAAAAGATATGAATTGATCATTGACAGAAAAATGGTCCTTTAACATATGAAAAGATGCTCATCCTCAGTATAATAAGAGAAATGCAAATTAAAGTTACACTGAGCTATCATTTCTCACTTATCAGATAGACAAAAATAAAAATTGTACAATGTACTCTCTTGGGGAGGCCATGGAGAAGTAAGCACTCACACATTGTTGGCGGGAGATTAAATAGTATAACACCTATGGGAAATTTGGCAATTGCATATATATATGTGCATATATGCATATGTATGTATGTATATGTAAGCACTATGCATATATATGTACATATTTATATATATATATAGTATGGAATGATCTACAGGATAAATTGTTAAGAGAAAATGTATGCCTCATTTTGTGTAAGAAAGTAGAAGACATATGAATATATATATAAATATTTGCTTATATTCTCAAGAATAAGCAAGAGATGGATAAACCACAAACTAATCAAGATAATTACCTATAAAAGAAGGTAAGGAAGAGGATAAGAGGGATGAAGATAGAAGCAAGACATCTATCAATGCACCTTGTTACATAGTTTTGAGTTTGAAATTGTATAAATGTATAGTATACTTTTAAAATAGCAAAGTAAAAGGAATTCCTAAGAACTGAAAACAAACTAAAACAAATGAATCCAACTATATATAAGGTTGCTATTTTAACTACACAAAGAAGGGGATTACTGAAACTGACTTTAAAATAGTATTTTGTTTGCACATCCCTTGTAAAACCTAATCTAATAGGAAGCTCAGAAAGGAAGAGCAAAGATATGTTAAACTACATTTCTTTGATTATTGTTAATTATAATAATGGCTTTGTTATTTTGGCACTATTAAAATATAGAGCAAATGAACAATTACATTAATATTAGGAATCAAGATTTTTGAGTAATAGAAAAGACGTAAATTTTTAAAATCAAAGAAGTTGGCCAAAAAACTGTGATCTCTAACTTAAATCCAAATATCAGTACAGTCTCCTGGTTTGTTTCCATGTTTTTAAAAATATGTATATTTGTGGTTCAGCCTGAAAAAAGGTATAGGAACAAGGATAAAGCACCTATAGTGCTATTCTTTTTAGTGACGAGGTTAAGGTTTCCAAATTATATTTACCATGAGAAAGGAACCATGGCTCCATGGAAAATGGCTATTTCCAGGTTTCTTGTTGTTGTTGTTTTGTTTTTGTTTTTTGTTTTTATTTGAGACACAGTCTCACTCTGTCGCCCAGGCTAGAGTGCAGTGGCGCCATCTCGGCTCACTGCAAACTCTGCCTCCTGGGTTCAAGCGATTCTCCTGCCTCAGCCTCCTGAGTAGCTGGGACTAGAGGCGCGGGCCAGCACGCTTGGCTAATTTTTTGTTGTTGTTGAGGTGGAGTCTCGCTCTGTCGCCCAGGCTGGAGTGCAGTGGCGCAATCTCGGCTCACTGCAAGCTTCGCATCCCAGGTTCAAGCTATTCTCCTGCCTCAGCCTACCGAGCAGCTGGGACTACAGGCACCCGCCACCGCACACGGCTAATTTTTTTGTATTTTTAGTAGAGATGGGGTTTCACCGTGGTCTCGATCTCCTGACCTCGTGATCCACCTGCCTCGGCCTCCCAAAGTGCTGGGATTACAGGCATGAGCCACCGCGCCTGGCCAATTTTTTTGCATTTTTAGTAGAGACACGGGGTTTCACCATGTTAGCCAGGATGGTCTGGATCTCCTGGCCTCGTGATCTGCCCATCTCGGCCTCCCAAAGTGCTGGGATTACAGGTGTGCGCCACCGCGCCTGGCCTATTTCCAGGTCTTGATCGATGTACAAACTGAGCTTGGGACAACTTGTTCCAGAAGGCAAATACATGCTCAAAGACTACAGGCATCATGTCAAAAGGACGTAAAAGCCATTTGAAGAGTTTTCTTCTGCCTTACAAGACAAGGCAAGAAGAAAAATGACTAAAATTGAAATAGCAAATACATAAAAATTCATGAAATCATATCTACTAAAAGCATTAAAAATAATTGATCCCATTAGAAGTTGATAGTACATGAATTTATTCTCTTAATCTTAAAACTAAAGAGAAAAAAATCTAGCTGTTGGCCTACCTTTCCTATACATTGTATTTCAGGATAGGCAAATAGTCAATGTGAGATAGTTCTTCTTTATGGAATAATTCAGTCAATAAATGCAGAATAAAACATAGGGATGAGAAATTATTATATTTTTATCTTTAATGAAATAATGGAGGCAGGACTTGATCATCAATGAAGGCTAAATCCACTGGGTGAAAAACTCATGTGTTACTTGGTAATAGCTAAAAGTCTATGAACCCACTGCTCAATCCTATCACCACTAAAAATGGAAACACTGAATATTATGTAGCTCATAATAGGACATGATAAAATGTACATAGTATCACTTATTTTTTTTTCCTTTTCTCCCAGCTTAAACCTGAATCTAATTAAATCTCTAAATCCTACTACTAGTTAATAGGAATTAGGAGTTAGAGAGTATTTCTCAGCTTTTTCTCCATTACACCCTCCCAAGAAGCATTTTTAGGCATTTTTTTTTCCTCATGGCTTCACCTGTTCTCTTTATATAAGATGGCTCTCCATATACTGTGGCCCTTTGGATTTTCCCCTGGTGGGCGTACATCACCCCCTTTGAGAATGCATCAGTTAGAAGAACAAATGAAATGACATCACAAGTAAGGAATCAATCAAATATGTAATCTACAACTATTTCTCCCAAGAAAGCAATAAAATAAAATTAAAAACCAAAGAGAGAGGGGCACTGATTAAAAAAAAAAAAAAGACATTAAAGAAACATATCATCTTGGTTGGGTGCGGTGGCTCATGCCTGTTATCCCAGCACTTTAGGAGGCCGAGGCAGGTGGATCACTTGAGTTCAGGAGTTCAAGATAAGGGTGGCCAACTTGGTGAAATCTAATCTCTACTAAAAATACAAAAATCAGCCAGGTGTGGTGGTGCATGCCCGTAATCTCAGCTACTTGGGAAGCTGAGGCAGGAGAATCTCTTGAACCCAGGAGGCAGAGGTTGCAGTGAGCTGAGATTGCCCCACTGCAATCCAGCCTGGGCAACAGAGTGAGAAAAAAAGAAAGAAAGAAAGAAAAGAAAGAAAGAAAGAGAGAGAGAGAGAAAGAGAGAAAGAAAGAAAGAGAGAGAAAGAAAGAAAGAAAGAAAGAAAGAAAGAAAGAAAGAAAGAAAGAGAAAGAAAGAAGACATCTAAAAGCAATGTATAAATATATGAAACTTTTTTGGATTCATGATTCAAACAAATTATTTGTGAACAGACATCTTTGTGACAATCAGAGAAATTTGAGTAAGGACTGAGCATTAGATGATATTAAGAAATTCTTGTAATTTTGGTGAGGTGTGATAATGACATGATGGATTAGGGGAAAATGCCCTTATCAGCAGAGATGCATAATGGGGTTTTAATGGTATGATATCTCAGATTTGCTTCAAGAAACTCCAGAAGAAGAAGAAAGATGGGATGTAGTTAAAATGAAATTGGAAAAATACTATAAATTCTGTGAAACTAGGTGGTTGGTAAATGAGGTTTATTAAAATTTTTATTATTTTGTATATCTTTGAAATTTTCCATAATAAAAGTTTATCACACTAAATCACTCCTCAAAAAATTAGAAGGATTTCAAATTAACAATCTAACATCACACCTCTAGGATCTAGAAAAACAAAAACAAACTAACCCAAAAGCTAGCAGAAGAAAAGAAATAAGCAAAATCAGAGCAGAACTGAATGAAATTGAGACTAAAATACCCATACAAACAATCAAAAATATAAAAAATTGATTCTTTTAAAGGATAATCAAGATTGACAGACCACTAGCTAGATAAACAAAGACAAAAGGATGGAAGGTCTAAATAAGAGCAATCAGAAATGACAAAGGTAACATTATAACTGATGCCACAGTAATACAAAAGATCCTCAGAGGCTATTATGAACATCTGTCTATAGACAAACTAGAAAATCTACAATAAATGGATAAATCCCTTGAAATACCCAACCTCCAAAGATTAAATCAAAAAGAAATTGAAACCCTGAACAGACTAATATCTTGTTCCAAAATTGAATCAGTAATAAAAAAAAAACCTACCAACCAAAAAAAGCCCCTGACCAGATGGATTCACAGCTGAATTCTACCAGATGCACAAAGAAGAGCTAGTACCAATTCTACAGAAGTGATTCCAAAAACTCAAGGAGGAAATCCTCCCTAACTCATTAAGTGAAGCCAGTATTACCCTGATACCAACATGTGACAAAAACACAATGAAAAAGAAAACCGTAGGCCAATGTCCTTGATGAAGACAGATGGAAATATTCTCAACACAATACTAGCAAACTAAATCTAGTATCTCATCAAAAAGTTAAATCACTATGAACAAGTAGGGTCCATTCCTGGGATGAAAATTTGGTTCAACATATGGAAATCAATAAATATGACTTAGCACATAAACAGGAATAAAAACAAAAACCATATAATCAGTGCAATAGACACAAATAAGCTTTTCTTAAAATCCAATGTTCCCTCCTGATAAAAGCCTTCAATAATCTAGACATCAAAGGAACATACCTCAAAATAATGAGTCATCTATGACAAACCCACAGCCAATATCATACTACACATACAAAAGCTGGAAGCATTCCCCTTGAAAAGTGGAACAAGACCAGGATGCACATTCTCAACACTCCTATTCAACATAGTACTGGAAGTCCTAACCAAAGCAATCAGCCAAGAAAAAGAAATAAAAGGTATCCAGTTAAGATAAGAAGAAACCAAATTATCACTGTTGACAGATGATATGATTCCTTACCCAGAAAACTCTAAAGACTCTGACAGAAACCTCCTAGACCTGATAAACTACTTCAGCAAAATTTCAGGATAGAAAATCAATGTACAAAAATCAGTAGCATTTCTATACACCGATAAAGTACAATCTGAGAGCCAAATCAAGAATGTAATCTCATTTACAGTAGCCACAGAAAAAAGAAAATGCCTAGGAATACATCTAATCAAGAAGGTAAAAGACCTCTACAAGAGCTACAAAACAGTGCTAAAAGAAGTCATATATAACACAAGTGGAAAAACTTTCCATGCTCATGAACTGGAAGAATTGATATCATTAAAATGGCCATACTGCCCAAAGCAATCTAAAAATTCAGTGCTATTCCTATCAAATTATAAACATCATTTGTCACAGAATTAGAAAAAACCTATTCTAAAATTCATGTGGAACCAAAAAAGAGCCTGAATAGCTAAAGCAATCCAAAGAAAAAAAAACAAAGCCAGAGGCATCACATTATTCAACTTCAAACTACACTATATGGCTACAGTCATCAAAACAGCATGGTACTGGTACAAAAACAGACACATACATCAATGGAACAGAATAGATAACCCAAAAATAAAGCCACACACCTATCTTCAACAAAGTTGACAAAAATAAGCAATGAGTAAAGGATTCTCTATACAATAAATGGTGCTGGGATACCTACCTAGCCATATGCAGAAGAATGAAACTGGATCCCTATCTTTCACCACATACAAAAATTAACTTAAGGTGCATTAAAGACATAAATACAAGACCTTAGACTATAGGAATCCTAGAAAAACACCTAGGAAACACCATTCCATATATTGGCCTTGGGAAAGAATTAAATTCTCCAAAGCAATGGCAACAAAATCCAAAAATTGACAAGTGGGACCTAATTAAACTAAAGAGCTTCTGCACACTATCAACAGAGTAAACAGGCAATCTACAGAATAGGAGAAAATATTCACAAACTATGCATCAACAAAGATCTAATATCTTGAATCTATAAGGAAATTAAATAAACAAGCAAAAAACAATAACTCCATAAAAATGGATAAAAGACATGAACAGATACTTCTCAAAGAAGACATACAAGTGGCCAACATGAAAAAGTGCTCATTATCACCAATCATCAGAGAAATGCAAATAAAATCCACAATAAGATACCATCTCACACCAGTCAGAATGGCTATTATTAAAAAGTCAAGGGCCGGGCGCGGTGGCTCACGCCTGTAATCCCAGCACTTTGGGAGGCCGAGGCAGGCAGATCACGAGGTCAGGAGATCGAGACCATCCTGGCTAACACGGTGAAACCCCGTCTCTACTAAAAATACAAAAAATTAGCCGGGCGTGGTAGCGGGCGCCTGTAGTCCCAGCTACTCGGGAGGCTGAGGCAGGAGAATGGCGTGAACCCGGGAGGCGGAGCTTGCAGTGAGCCGAGATCGCGCCACTGCACTCCAGCCTGGGTGACAGAGCGAGACTCCGTCTCAAAAAAAAAAAAAAAAGTCAAAAAACAGTAGATGTTGGCAAGGCTGTGGAGAAAGGGAATGCTTATAACTGTTGATAGGAGTACAAGTTAGTTCAGCCACTATGGAAAGATGTTGGAGATTTCTCTAGGAACTTAAAACTGAGTTAGCATTTGACCCAGCAATCCTATTACTTGATATATATCCAAAGGGAAATACATCATTTTACCAAAAAGTCACATGCACTCATACGTTCATTACACTGCAATTCACAATAGCAGAGTTTTGGGATCAACCTAGTTACTCATCAGTGGTGGACTGGATAAAGAAAGTGTGGTAAATATACACCATGGAATACTACACTACCATAAAGTAGAATGATATTTTGTCCTTAGCAGCAAAATGAATGTAGCTAGAGGCAATTATCCTGAGTGAATTAACACAGGAACAGAAAACCAAATACTGCATGTTTTCACCTGTAAATGGGAGCTAAACATTGTGTACACATGGACATACAGATGGGAAGAATAGATACTGGAGACTATTAGAGGAGGCAGTAGGCTGCAAAATCACCTGTTGGGTACTGTGCTCATTACCCGTGTGACGGGATCATCTGTACCCCAAACCTCTGCATCACATAATATACCCAGGTAACCAATCTGCACATGTACCCCCTCAATCTAAACTAAAAGTTGAAATTATAAAAAAAATAATAAAATATTTGTAAGACAACTGTAAGAGTATACCACATCTTAGAGTAGCCCAGGTGCAGTGGCTAACACCTGTAATCCCAGCACTTTGAGAGGCTGGGGCGGGAGGATCACTTGAGGTCAGGAGTTTCAGACCAGGCTGGCCAACATGGTGAAACCTGTCTCTACTAAAAATACAAAAATTTGCCAGGCGTGGTGGCAGATGCCTGTAATCCCAGCTACTTGGGAGGCTGAGGCAGGAGCATCGCTGGAACCCGGGAGGCAGAGGTGGCAGTGAGCCAGGATGGTGCCACTGCACTCCAGCCTGGGCAACAGAGTGAGACTCCATCTCAAAAAAAAAAAAAAAACTTATACTTTGTTATATAATTCAATAGCAATGATTCATGTAATCTATTGGGGAATCATACCACTTTGAAAAATTTGGACCACTTGCTTATTTAAAAATAATCTTTTCACATGATGGAGAAATGAAATGTAAAAAAAGCCACTCATCTTGGCAACGATATTCATGGGACTGACATTGATAGAATTCCAAAGACAAAAATATATTTTTTTCATTCATGGTCATATGGAAAACCCTGCATTCACTATTTTTGGATTCCTAAAGAGTGACATGTGATAACTATGACTCCAGTTTCTTTACTCTGCATCAATCTTCTCTTTCTTTTTAATGTATTTTCAGTGGGGAAAGATAAAGAAACTGAAAAATGGGGAATTGTGATATTTCCAATATTTGCCTGAGAAACGCCATGGCCTCAGGTCAAAGTAACTAGCCAAATGATGTTCTCCCTTCACTATTGATAAACTGGTTGGCAGTGAAAATATTCCACTCATTTCAAACATACTGGTTTGTATATTAGATGCCAAAAATAAATTTGTTTGAATATTCTTATGATAAAATTAAATAATCTTGTTGCTAATATGTAATATAGGCCTAAGTTGCTGATTCCACAAAAATTCTCAGGAGAATTGATGTTTGGCATAATAAAATATTTCAAAAGAATTAATTTTTGGCATACATCTGTGTGGTTAAATGCCCAGTCTTTGTTCCATTCAAACTTCCAACAAGAATGTTACTGTTTTTCCTTTTACATTCAGTAACATTTGGCTTTTGCCATTTCTTTTTCAGAAGAACAAAGTGTTCTGCTGAAAAGAATTAAAAGCCATGACCCCATTAGGTGTTTATTATTGTTGTTGGTGGTGGTGTCAATGTATAGCAATTCTAGCTATACCTCCAATACTTTCCAGTGATATCAGAAAACAATAATGACAGAATTTTCTAAAGCTGAAAGTGAAGCATATATCTCAAATGAGGAGAGGGTTTGATATATTTCAAGATCTTGTACTAAACCAAGGTTGATTTTATAACCTGCATATCACAGACAGATGAATAACAGAAACTTGCCCAATTGAAAACAAAATGTTGAACTGTTTTAAGTTCTGTTGATATTTGACGAGTTCATTATTTTATTTCCCATTTACTGTCCAGCTAAATTCTTTTTTTTTTTTTTTTTTGAGATGGAATCTCACTTTGTCGCCCAGGCTGGAGTGCAGTGGCATGATCTCAGCTCACTGCAGCTTCCACCTCCAGGGTTCAAGAAATTCTCCTGCCTCAGCCTCCCAAGTAGCTGGTATTACAGGCGTGCACAACCATGTCTGGCTAATTTTTGTATTTTTAGTAGAGACAGGGTTTCACCATGTTGGCCAGGCTGGTCTTGAACTCCTGACCTCAGGTGATCCACCTGCCTGGGCCTCCCACAGTGCTGGGATTACAGGCATGAGCCACCGCACCCAGCCTGTCCAGCTAAATTCTGTATAGTAAGTCTGTAGTTGTGAACAGGTTTAAAACAGCACTTTATCAAACTAACTTCATATTAGCTTATGAAATATTACCATTTCTATTATTTCCCCTTATTATGACAGCTAAGTTTTGACAAAAATAGAATTCCCAGGAAGATGAAAGGAATTTTTTTTCTTCCAGTAAAACCAAATTGCAAATAAAACAAGGTACTTTTCAGCAATGGTATTAATATTGACTTTTAAATTAAAACTATCTCAAAATACTTAATCCTGATTTACAGTTTTTCAGCTAAGCTACAAGTGTCTAAATTGTGGGGCTGATTTATATCTAATTAGAAAAACAGGTATTTTTAATAGAAAAGCAAAATTAAAACTGAAGATAAAGAATTCTACATATTTCGACTGTTTTCAGCCCCTCACATTGATTAAGACTTGACTCAGGTATAATCTTAATGAAGGCAATAGATGTGTTTCCAAGGCAGATGAGCAAGGAGAGGGAGTTAGAAACTGTCTGGCATGTGTGATATGCAGATTTCTTACACTAAGTAAAATATAGAAGACCCAGAAATATTTTCAATAGAGGAATATTTTTAATAAGTGACTCCATTATAAATTTGGAAACAGTTATTTAATATTGAATTTAAAAGCTTAAAAGTCACTATTCTCACTTACTATGGGACACTTGACTCTTTATATAATTCAACGCAGAAATTTTTTAGCCTTTATATATGTTCAAGATTGTCTTGGTTGTTGGATAATTAAAAAAGAAAAATGAGTTTGTGCAAATATTTTTGACCCATCCTGTCTCAAGAAGTTAACCAAAAAAGCATATTTCAATCATTTATCAAATATATGATTTGTATTTTTTTACATTTTATGGGTTGCCTTCTTACGCTGTTGATAGCATCTTTTTTGATGCGCAAAATTTTAAAATTTTCATGAATCCCAATTTGTCTATTTTTTTCTTTTGTTGCCTGTGCCTTTAGTATCGTATTCAAAAAGTCACTGCCCAAGCAAATGTTATAAAATATTTTCTCTGTTTTCTTTTAAAAATCTAATAGTTTTTGGTCTAACATTTAGGCCTTTGATATCCAGAATATATAAAGAACCCCTAAAACTCAACAACAAAAAAGAAAACAATCCAATTCAAAAATGGGCAAAGGGCTTGAATAGACATTTCTCCAAAGAATATATACAAATGGCAGGTAAACACATGAAAAAATGCTCAATATCACCACTTATTAGCAGAATGCAAATCAATAATAAAGTTAGATACCACGTCATACTCATTTGTATGGCTAAAAAAATACAGACAATAACAAGCATTGACAATAATTTGGAGAAATTAGAATCCTTATGCCCTGTCAGTGGGAATATAAATGGTATGGCTGCTGTGGGAACAGTATGACTTTTCCTCAAAAAGTTAAAAATAGAATTACTGTATAATCCAGCAGTTCCACTTCTGGGTATATGCCCCCCAAAATTGAAAGCAGAGTATTTGAAAAAATACTGTTCAACCATATTCACAGCAGCATTATTCACAATAGCTAAAACAACCTAATTGTCCCTAACAAATGAATGAATAAGCAAAATGTGTTATATACATACAACGAAATATTATTAAATCTTAAGAAAGGAAAATTCTGCAATACACAACATCTGTGAATCTTGAGGACATTGTGCTAATAATATAAACTAGTGACAAAGAGACAAATACAGTATGATTCCACTCATAAGTGATACTTAGAGTCATCACAGTAATCAAGACAAAAAATAGCATAATGATAGCAAGGGGGTGAGGGGAGGGAGGAACGGGGAGTTATTGCTTAGTGGATGTAGAGTTTCAGTTTTACAAGATGAAGAGTTATGGATGGATGGTGGTAATAGCTGTACAATATTGTGAATTTCTGTAATACCACTGAACTGTATACTTACAAATGGTTATAATGGTAAATTTTGTTTTATGTGTCTTCTACCATAGTAAAAAAAATAAAGGGTTCATGTAGATGTTATGAGCTACAAATGAAGCTGGAGATGGAAATTAGCTAAAGAGAAGTATATTTTCACTGGGCTTTAAGAGTAGGTTTTTGCCAATAAACCTTCTCTTCTGAAAAAAAGGTGTGAATGCAGGTGGGCAAGAGGTTTGGGCTGGGAGCACAAACTCATGAAAGTGTAGAAAGGCATGGAAGTCAGCATATCTACTTGTTTAGGGAACAGTGAACAGATCCGAGTGGCTGGAATATGAAATTTATGAAGAGCTAATGTTAGAAAGATAGCTTATGGAAAGACTATGAATGATCTCAAAAGCTTATTGGATTTTTATTTAAGAAGTGAAAAATCATTGAATAGGGAATGTGATGACTAAATACACAGTTTAAAAGTGAGATTTCAGAGGCAAAGAGAAGTGAGAATTGAAGAGTTAATAAATTGAGTGTGGAGAATTACTCAAAAGACTACCGCAGTTGTGCCTGTATGGGAAAATAACAGTGGGCATGGAAAAGGGAAGACAGAAATAGAAGGAAGACATTGTTGAAACTGAATTGACAGGGCTTTGCAAATGATAAGAAAAGTGAATGGAAGGGAGAAATGGGAAATGAGAAAAAATGGCAACATTTTTAAATGGGAAATAGAAACATAGGATTGGGAGGAAAGAATTTGGACAGGATCAACAATATGGGTTCCCTCTGAGGCCTAATGAGTTTGATATGTTATAGAACATATAGAATATGCACATATAATTATTTTCAATGTAATTAGAAGTGTAGATCTTAGGAGAATGATAAGAACCAAAGACATATATGTGAAAATTAGTGGTGACTGGAGGTTGGTTGAGGTCATGGGAATGGCAAAGTATGACCTGGACTGAAAGTCAGGAGGACTGAGTTTTACACCTGGTCTGCCAGCCACCAGGTAGGTTCTGGGTAAATTGCCTCCTCTCTGGGCCTCATCTTTACACATCTACAAAATGGCCTTGTTCTCTTTGTAGGGTTATAGTATCAATCACATAAGTATTTTGAAAGTTCTTTATAAAATACAAAGCACAATGTAGACTCAGAGACTCAAAAATATTAAATGTTTGCCAGTCACAAGATGACTTATCCATTTAATATTTTATTCATTATTATGTACAAATGAATATACTTTTTCATTTTGCTTTTCAGTTACGTTTATACTCTTTGAACTCACTTATCTTTCTCTACATGTATGATGTCTGTATTGTGCCATGTAACACTGAGAACATTCTAGTGGACAATAGAGGTAGGGTAATGTGAAATCCAAACTAAATACACATTGAATTTTTGCCCTTGGGAAGCTTTCAATTAAGCTAGAGCACCAGCATATGCACAGAAAGCATTGCAAGAAGTAGGCAGTGCAAAACTACCAAAAGAGGATGTATGTCCTGGGGGAATGCAGAGTAGAAAACAGTCAGGTGGCTGGGAGTTTTAAATGAAAGCATTTAGGCAATGAATTATGTTCAGTCCAAATTGTAAAAGGGAGTGTGAGGCATGGATTCCTAGAGAGAATGAAAGAAGGTGCTCCAGGCATTTGTTACAGTCGATTTATTCAGGTAATAGCCATGCTAATGAAGACTGCTGTTACCCATAATCACTACTGTCTGCCAGCAGTTCCTGAACAGTGTGCACAGAAATCACTTGGAAGCTCAAAATCTTCACCAGGAGGTTCTAACTCAGGATATCTGAGAAATATACTAAAGCATATGTATTTTTTTTACCCTCCCAGGTGATTTTGATGTGTCCAGATCCCTGGTTAGATACCACTATGCCAGTTATTTCCATTGTTGTTTGTACATTTACATTACTTCAAGACTTTAAAATTCCAAAACTCAACTTATACCTCAGAGTAAGTAAATCACACAATATCTGTGGGTGAGGGGAGAAGAAACATTCATTAGTAGTTTTTAAGTTCCCTGGGTGATTCCAATGCACAGATAAATATGGGAACTACTGCAATTTCCTCTCTCCCTTAATCCACTTCCTAGAAGGAGGAGAAACTCATGTGAGTAGAGGAAAAAATGAATTCCAAAAGCACATGTAAGCCAATGTGCTAAACAAAGAAGCTTCTGTTTGGAAAGGGGTAAACATTTCTGTAGAGAAATGTTTGAGATGCCATATTCCTTATGGTATCTCAATATCTTGGCTCCTCCAGTTAAAAAAAATATTTTGTGTTGCTCTTCCTTCCTTGTGTTGCTCTTCCTTCACTTCTCTCCATATAGATAGTGCTACAGAAGTGGCCTGGGGGTTCATCCCACAAGGGAAATGTAATTCTCCCTCTCTTTCCTTTAGGACAACAGTCAGAAAAAGAATGGAGAAAAAAAGGAGTTATGAGGCATCTTACATAATTTTGATTGTGTATGGAAGATACATGTTATTTAATAAAGAAAAATCCTCCAACATAGAATATAAGCAGCTGGCCAGATATTAATGTGCTTGACCCAGCAACTTTCAGATGGGACTAACCACTAAATCTGCAGTATAAAACTGATGAGTTAAAGTCTTATTACACCATAAGTCTCGGGATTTTTTATTCTTTTGGCAAATGAGAAGTTTTCCCTGATTTGCTTCTTCTTGGAAAGAACCACTAGAACAATATTGTGTTTTCCATGCCTTTAGTGTAGCTTATGTGATTGCAGTTTCCTCTGAAGTGATGTGTTAGGAGATTTTGGAGCTCAATTCTCTGTATCAGTCCATTCTTACACTGCTATAAAAATACTACCTGAAACCGGGTCATTTATATAAAAAAAGAAGTTTAATTGACTCTGTTCCACATGGCTGGGGAGGCCTCAGGAAACTTACAATCATGGCAGAAGGCAAGGGGAAGCAAGGCATGTGTTTACAAGGTGGCAGGAGAGAGAGGAAGCTCAGGGGAAAGGGCCAGACACTTATCAAACAACCAGATCTCCAGAGAACTTCCTCACTGTCATGAGAACAGCATGGCAGAAACTATCCCATGAGCCAATCACCTCCCACCAGGACCCTCCCTTGACACATGGGAATTACAATTGATGATGAAATTTGGGTGAGAACACAGAGCCAAACCACATCATTTCACCCCTGGCCCATCCCAAATATCATGTTCTTTTCATATTTCAAAACCAATCATGTCTTTCCAACAGTCCCCCAAAGTCTTAATTCATTCCAGCATTAACTCAAAGTCCAAGTGCAAAGTCTCATCTGAGACAAAGCAAGTCCTCTGCCTATGAGCCTGTAAAATCAAAAGCAAGTTAGTTACTTTCAATATACAATGGGGGTACAGGCATTGGGTAAATGTTCCCATTCCAAATGAAAGAAACTGGCCAAAACAAAGGAGTCACAGGCTCCATGCAACTCCAAAACCCAGGAGGGCAGTCATTAAATTTCAAAGACCCAAAATGATCTCCTTTTACTCTATGTTTTACATCCAGGGAATGTTGATGCATGGGGTGGGCTCCCATGGCCTTGAGCAGCTCCTCCCCTGTGGCTTTGCAGAATACAACCCCTGAACTGCTTTCACAGGCTGTTGTTGAATGCCTATGGTTTTTCCAGGTGCATGATGCAAGCTATCGATGGATCTCCCTTTCTGGGCTCTGGAGGATGGTGGCCCTCTCTCACAGCTCCACTAGGCAGAGCCTCAGTGAGGAATATGTGTGTGGGCTCCAACCCCACATTTCCCTTCTGCACTGACCTAGCAGAGGTTCTCTATGAGGGCCCTACCCCTGCAACAGACTTCTGCCTGGACATCCAGGTGTTTCCATACATTCTCTGAAATTGGCAAACCGTCCCAAAGCTCAACTCTTGTCTTCTGCGTACCACAGGCCCAACACCACATGGAAGCCACCAAGGCTTGGAGCC
Organism: Homo sapiens; assembly: GCF_000001405.40. Taxonomy (NCBI): domain Eukaryota; kingdom Metazoa; phylum Chordata; class Mammalia; order Primates; family Hominidae; genus Homo; species Homo sapiens. Next base: position 98,232,840 of record NC_000006.12, read on the forward strand.
TGCACCCTCTGAAGCAACAGCCTGAGCTGTACTTGGCCCCTTTTAGGCATGGGTGGAGCTGGAGTTGCTGTGACACAGGGCACCAAGTCCCAAAGCTGCACTGAGCAACAGGGCTCTGGGCCCAGCTCATAAAGCAATTTTTCCTCCCGGGCCTCTGGGCCTATGATGAGCAGGACTACCATGCAGGTTTCTGACATGTCCTGGAGACATTTTCCCCATTGTCTTGGGTATTAACATTCAGTTCCTTGGTACTCATGCAAATTTCTCCAGCTGACTTGAATTTTCCCAAGAAAATTGGTTTTTGTTATCTACCACATGGTCAGGTGGCAAATTTTCCAAACCATTATGATCTACTTCCCTTTTAGACACAAGTTCCAATTTCAAACCATCTCTTTGTGAATGCATATAACTAAGTGCTTTCAGAATAAGGCAGGCCACCTCTTGAATGCTTTGCTGCTTAGAAATTCCTTCCACCAGATACCCTAAATCATCTCTTTCAAGTTCAGTGTTTCACAGATCTCTAGGGCAAGGGCAAAATGCTGCCAGTCTCTTTGTTAAAGCATAGCATGAGTGACCTTTACTCCCGTTCCCAATAAGTTCCTCATCTCCATCTGAAGCCATCTCAGCTTGGACTTCATTGTCCATATCACTGTCAGCATTTTGGTTAAAATTATCCAGCAAGTCTCTAGGAAGTTCCAAACTTTCCCACATCTTCCTGTCTTCTTCTGTTCCAACCTCTGCCTGTTACCCAGTTAAAAAGTCACTTCCACATTTTCCGGTTATCTTTATAGCATTACCCCACTTCTGGTACCAGTTATGTGTATCAGCCTGTTTTCATACTGCCGGAAATATACTACCTGAGACTGGGTAATTTATAAAGAAAAGAGGTTTTGTATTTTATTATTATTATTATTATACTTTAAGTTCTAGGGTACATGTGCAAAACCTGCAGGTTTGTTACACAGGTATACATGTGCCATATTGGTTTGCTGCACCCATCAACTCGTCATTTACATTAGGTATTTCTCCCAATACTATCCCTTCCCCAGCCCTCTACACCCCAACAGGCCCCAGTGTGTGCTGATCCTGCCCTGTGTCCAAGTGTTCTCATTGTTCAATTCCCACCTATAAGTGAGAACATATGGTGTGTGGTTTTCTGTCCTTGTGATAGTTTGCTAAGAATGATGGTTTCCAGCTTCATTCATGTCCCTCCAAAGGACATGAACTCGTCCTTTTTTATGGCTGCATAGTATTCCATGGTGTATATGTGCCACATTTTCTTAATCCAGTCTATCACTGATGGACATTTGGGTTCATTCCAAGTCTTTGCTATTGTGAATATTGCCACAATAAACATACGTGTGCATGTGTCTTTAGAGTAGCATGATTTATAATCCTTTGGGTATATACCCAGTAGTGGGATTGCTGGGTCAAATGATATTTCTAGTTCTAGATCCTTGAAGAATCGCCACACTGTCTTCCACAATGGTTGAACTAATTTACACTCCCACCAACAGTGTAAAAGTGTTCCTATTTCTCCACATCCTCTCCAGCATCTGTTTTTTCCTGACTTTTTAAGGATCACCATTCTAACTGGTGTGAGATGGTATCTCATTATGGTTTTGATTTGCATTTCTCTGATGACCAGTGATGATGAGCATTTTTTCATGTGTTTGTTGGCTGCATAAATGTCTTCTTTTGAGAGTGTCTGTTCATATCCTTTTCTCACTTTTTGATGGGGTTGTTTGTTTTTTTCTTGTAAATTTGTTTAAGTTCTTTGTAGATTCTGGATATTAGCCCTTTGTCAGATGGGTAGATTGTGAAAATTTTCTCTCATTCTGTAGATTGCCTGTTGTTTCTTTTGCTGTGCTGAAGCTCTTTAGTTTAATTAGATCCCATTTGTCTATTTTGGCTTTTGTTGCCATTGCTTTTGGTGTTTTAGTCATGAAGTCTTTGCCCATGCCTTTGTTCTGAATGGTATTGCTTTGGTTTTCTTCTAGGGTTTTTATGGTTTTAGGTCTTACATTTAAGTCTCGAATCCATCTTGAATTAGTTTTTATATAAGGTGTAAGGAATGGATCCAGTTTCAGATTTCTACATATGGGTAGCCAGTTTTCCCAGCACCATTTATTAAATAGGGAATCCTTTGCCCATTTCTTGTTTTTGTCAGGTTTGTCAAAGATCAGATGGTGTAGATGTGTGGTGTTATTTCTGTGGCCTCTGTTCTGTTCCATTGGTCTATATATCTGTTTTGGTACCAGTACCATGCTGTTTTGGTTACTGTAGCCTTGTAGTATAGTTTGAAGTCAGGTAGCAGAATGCCTCCAGCTTTGCTCTTTCTGCTTAGGATTGTCTTGGCTATGCGGGCTCTTTTTTGGTTCCATATGAACTTTAAAGTAGTTTTTTTCCAACTTTGTGAAGAAAGTCATTGGTAGCTTGATGGGGATGGCATTGAATCTATAAATTACCTTGGGCAGTATGGCCATTTTCACATTGACTATCCATGAGCATGGAATGTTCTTTCATTTATTTGTGTCCTCTTTTATTTCATTGAGCAGTGATTTGTAGTTCTCCTTGAATAGGTCCTTCACATCCCTCATAAGTTGGATTCCTAAGTATTTTATTCTCTTAGTAGCTATTGTGAATGGGAGTTCACTCATGATTTGGCTCTCTGTTTGTCTGTTATTGGTGTATAGGAATGCTTGTGATTTTTGCACATTTATTTTGTATCCTGAGACTTTGCTGAAGTTGCTTATCAGCTTAAGGAGATTTTGGGCTGAGACAATGGGGTTTTCTAAATATACAATCATGTCATCTGCAAACAGGGACAATTTGACTTCCTCTGAGAAAAGAGGTTTAATTGACTGACTGATGCACATGGTGGGGGAGGCCTCGGGAAACTTACTTTCATGGCAGAAGGTGAAGGGGAAGCAAGGTATGTCTTCACAAGGCAGCAGAGAGAGAGCACACAGGGAAAGGGCCAGACACTTATCAAAAAAACCAGAACTCAACTTTCTCACTATCATGGGAGCAGCGTGGGAGAAACAGCCCCCATGATCCGATCACTTATGACCAATTCCCTCCCTTGACATGTGGGGATTACAATTCAACATGAGATTTGGGTCAGGACACAGAGCCAAACCATATCAGGGTTACTCTGTGCCTAAATAATTCTCTATTGGAAGGACCTTGGAAGTCATCTGTTATGACCCGGTTTTGTAATCCATAGGGTCTAGTGTTAGGGAAATACATATCAAGAGAGGAAGGACTGCCTTTGCCTAGCCCCCATTTCTAGTTTGTTTTATGTTGCTCCATCATACTTTTAGATGCGAACATCCTCAAACTTGAGGGAGATTGTGACAAGCATAGCTTCTACCTTTAGAGTTAAGACTACCCTCTACGGTAGTTACCTCATATTCTAATATTCCCAGGAATAGTTTGAAGTCCTTAGTAAAAGTCAGACACCGCTAAGAAAACAAATGTTGTTCCATTGTGAAGTGGTAGACAGGGAGAGTGTTCTCACCCATGTCTGAGGTTCTGCATCTGCCATCTGTGCCCTTCCCTTGGTGGTTGGAGAAGTGTATGATGGGAAACTCCTGGAATATTAGAATAAAGGAGTCTAGCAGCAAATGGACAGATCAGTGCAGTCTTTCACACCAGGTTACAGAGGACAAGCTTGGCCTATTCAGTTCTGAGGTATCGGGGGGCACAGTTTGGAGTCTCAAAGCATTGAAGACTTCCAAACCAAGTTACACAGGACAAACTGGCCCTACTCAGTCCTGAGGGATCTAAATTATAGTTTGGATAGTCTTCCAATACAAGAGAAACCTCACATGTGAAGTTCTTTAGGATTTAGGAGTTAACAGAAGAAACACTAAGAACTGTCATGTCCACAAAAGAGAGAATTAGACAATGTTAGTTAAAAATACATAGAAACCCTGGGCTTTTACTACTAACAGGGAACAATGTGGGCTCCTAGGTCTCAGAGATGATAAATAAAAGCTTGGATATTTAAGGAAGCTAGTTCAGACAGTTTTGAGTCCTTCAGGAACAGACTCTCTCTAATGAGCTTATTTAAAGGCTGAATGAAACTCAACAATAAAATTGGCTTGAATGGAGAAGGCATAAGCATATGCACTGGCCTATCCCACTGGCAGGTCAATCAAAATGCATAGCCTATTTCTTTAAGTAAGGAGAGAATTATGTTATAGAATCTCACAACTGAAAGAAATTTTAAAGATTATCTATTGTGAGGACGTTTGAGGCGGGCTAGGTTCATTCATTCATTCATTAAATTACCCACTCATTTATTCATTTAACAAATATAAAATGAATATCTGGAGATGGCACTCCTGATGTTATTCTTTTCTTATAACTATAGCCTCCTGCTAGGAAGAGAAGAAACTTCATTGGTTCCCAGGCTGCCACCAAGCTGACTTGAGCTAATAGTCTCTATTATGATGACTTAAAAGAGACAAAGGTCCATAAAAGACAAGTGGCCACTGTTTATGATGGTATGCTTAGTGTTTCTTGGTTACCACTAGCACGAGGAAGTTGTGTTGTCAAGGCCAATAAAGAAAGCTTATATTAATTGATGTTCATGAAGTAGAGCAGTCAAAGAAAGTAGAGCATTGGAAAACACTGGCTCCTGGAACAGGAAGAAACCCAAATAGTTATAGATGCTCCTCCTCAAGTTACAGTGAGGTTATGTCCCAATAAACCCATCATAAATGGAAAATATCTTAAGCTGAAAATTCATTTAAAATACCTAACCTACCAAACATCACTGCTTAGCCTAGCCTACCTTAAATGTGCTCAGAACACTTACATTAGCCTAAAGTTGGACATCTAACACAAAGCCTATTTTATAATAATTGAATATCTCATGTAATTTATTAAATACAGTGCTGAATTGAATACAGTACTGACAGTAAAAAACAGAATAGTTCTACGTGTATTCAACGTGCAATTTCTACTGAACGTGTATCACTTTTGTATGACAGTAAAATTGAAAAATTGTAAGTCCAGCTATCTTAAGTTTGTAACTATCCATATATTTATTAAGCAGTTGCCTGAGAACAGGCCTATGATTGTGGAAGTGATGACACAAAAAAAGTTACTTTAAAAGTAATGGTCTTTGGCAAAATAGGCATAGGAAGTAGGATTATCCTGCAGGACTAGAAAGTACCAGTATTTAAACACACTCTGTTGAATGTCAATAACTTCAAGGATAAAGAAGGAAGTGAGAAAATAATCAGGCAGGAAAATATGATATGTATAAATATTATAAGGGGAACAAAAGTCTGGCCTCTAGCAGACCTGTTCATAACATTAGATGCTAAGAGACAATAGAGTAATATCTTTAGAGTTTTAAGATATAAAAGAATGTATAGAAATCATTTATATCCTGTGAAGGTGTCATTCATTTATGATGGCATGCTATTGTCAATGAAGTAAAATTCTATAATATGGAGTGGGAAATAATTATGAGTATAGGGAATCAGAGTACTATAAGTAATAAAAAATCAATTTAATAAATATATATCAAATGTTGTGTCCCACAGATGCTACATTCACTTATTCTCCTAAAGGTCTTTTCAACTCCCTGTCATGTATTGCTGGAATAGGGCCTAAGTTCTCTCTCTCTGTCTTCCAACCCTAATGTCTCTTCAGGATATTTATGAAAACTTATTTAAGCTTTTGAAATTAAAAGCGAACTCAGGAGAAAATTGTTTGCAGGCAAATTCTGCTTTCATCCAACCCTGAAGTAGTAAGTACAGGGTCTGTGTTATGGATAATAGCAGAAGAAGAAAGGGGAAAACCTAAGTGAAAACATAAATTAATAGTTCAAAAAAGGTACTTTCTCACAACATTGACTTTCTTATTATGAAAAATTTCTATGTAAGAAATAAAATACTGGGGTGGGGTAAATCTTCCAAATTTTGTCCTTGAATGCACACCATGGTTTTTTAATAACAAATAATGGTGACACACAATTTGAATAATGTATATATTTTTCCAATCATTAAGCAAATTATTCACAGTCTCTGTTTGGTGCTGACTTGATCCATGTTTCTCATTTCTTCGCACCAGCTTTCAGTGAGAAATAAACCAGATGCTCTTTTAAAAACATATTCCTAAAACTCTATGATTTTTAAAAGGCAATAGATAATTTTTTTTTCTGGAAAAGCACTGAAAGAAAAATGATTTAATTCTTAAAGAGGCAAATAAGTAAGGGAATTTCGGATCAGGTTTCACTAATGACTTAGAGGGTGAGACCTTAGAGGGACTCCTCAGCCAGTACTTGAAATGTTACAAAAACAACAGCACTCCAAGTCCCTGATTCTTGCCTTATGAATACAGATTTTGTTCTTGAGGGAGTCTGGATGTAAATCCGTCACCATCACGTGACAAATGATCCAGAGCACACATCCCTTACCAGTGGGTAAGTAACTTGTCTTTCACTTGGAAGCACAAAGCTCTCATTACCTGATTCCCTGATTTTTTTCATCTATCATGTTTCTCCCATGTGGTATGACTGTCTTTGAATCAGCAAGTGACTTCAGATGTGCTTATCTTTAAATGTCATATGTCCAACATGGAGCTGTTGAACTCCTTCATCCCAAACCTGTAGCTCTTTCTCATTGCAATAAAAGAGACCACTCTTTGCCATGTTGCTTAAATGACACCATCTGAGACTCATCCTTGATTCTTCTCTTTGCTTCACCCCTCACCACCAATCTTTTAACAAACTCTATCAATTCTGTCTCCAAAAGATATATTTGATCATCTCTGCTGCCATATTTCACACCAGGACTACAGCAACAACTTCCTCTATGGCCTCTCAGCTTCCACTCTTGCTCCTCTACCATCCATTTTCCATACAGCAGCCAGGATAAAGTTTTATAAACGTAAATCTGATTATGTTGATTCCTTGCATAAAAACTTTCGAGAGCTTCCTTCACTTTTAGAAGAAAAATTTAAACACTTAAAAGTGTTATGTTATCTGAGTACATCTCCAACTTGATCTCAAGCCCTTGTTTTCCTTGCACACTATTATTCTCTCATCACATTAGCCTTCTTTCTTATCTTCAAATACCCTTTTCCACATCAGAAACTACACTTAGCATTTTCTCTGATTGTATTTATCCGGTTTCTTCGTGATTGCTTATTGTCATTCTTAGCTTGAAAATCCCCTCCTCTAAGAGGACTTCCTGACCAGCTATCTTAAATTTCAGCCCACCTCTCTCCCTTTTGGTGCTTCCCTGACCATCACTCTTCAGTTTCCCCTCAATCTGTAATCTACTTGTTTATTTTTCTTTCTTATTCATCACTGCATTCCCAACTCTTAGCATAGTATGTATCACAAAATAGGTGCTGAGTAAATATTTGTTAAATATGTGAACTCCTTAATGCCTAGTATATTATCCTGCAAACTAAGAACCCATAGGAATGGTAGGACTGCTGACTACCACAGTGATGATAACGGTATTAACAAGGCTGTCCAGGAGAATCAGTGTTCCCCACATGATTCCTACAAATGTGATATTATTAAATATGAGACTCCCCAGATGACTCTAGGATTCATGGTTATTTTTCTTTTGTTCCATGACTAAACAACATTTTTGTGTTCTACCAGGAAGAAAAGCAGGCAGCTGTCAACACTTGTCAGCAAAGTTGGATAGAAAGGTTCTCCAGCCCTGCGCGGTGGCTCACGCCTGTAATCCCAGTGCTTTGGGAGGCCGAGGCAGGCGGGTCACCTGAGGTCAGGAGTTCAAGACCAGCCTGGCCAACATAGTGAAACCCCACCTCTACAAAAAATTGGCCTGGCGTGGTGGCACATGCCTTTAATCCCGGCTACTAGGGAGGCTGAGACATGATAATCACTTGAACCTGGGAGGCAGAGGTTGCAGTGAGCCAAGATCGTGCCATGGCATCCAGCCTGGGTGACAGGGTGAGACTCCGTTGAAAGAAAGAAAGAGAGAGAGAGAGACAGAATGAAAGAAAGAAAGAAAGAAAGAAAGAAAGAAAGAAAGAAAGAAAGAAAGAAAGAAAGAAAGAAAGAAAGAAGAGGGAGGGAAGGAAGGAAGGAAGGAAGGAAGGGAGAAAGAAAGAGAGAAAGGTTCTCCAAAGTCCTTACCCATGACTGGAACTATAATTCTCATTTTGGATTTAGCAATCACTGAATTGTATTTTATAAACTTCCTGATTCTCAGAGTCATTTGTATGAGATATTTGCCACTAACCTAAAGTTCTGCAATATTCTAGATTTAAGTATAGTAGACTTCTAATTGGAATATCTACTTTTGAATATTAATAACTATTTTTGATACAAAGCAGCATTATCATAAACAATTGAAACTCAGATAACAATGTCTAAACAAATTACAGAGAATATCTTACTATTTGAGATAATTTTTATTACATTTACCATCCATTAGCCCACAAAATATAGCAGTTTATAGTTAACAGTTATACCTGAAGAATAAAATAGATTTTAGTCTACATATAATTTTGATTTAAGTTACGGCTATATGTTGTAAATAGAAGTGATAAATAATATATGTATAGCAATTTATATGTTTTAAAAATCCATTCATCCAGGCATTTATTAAATACTTATTGATCCACTATCATCTTCTAGGCTCTAGACTAGATTTGGGGGATTCGATGATAAATAAGGTAGCTGGTGTGTTTCCTCCTGGAGCTTACAGTCTAGCAGAGAGGACACATAGCACTGCATGACTTTATGCAATTTACTTCATTCGCCAAATGAGAGGATATAGCTCATTTTGTGGGGAAGAGATAAGGTTGTCCATAAAGACTCCTGGAAGAAATGACAAGTACACTATAACAAAAGGGTCTATAGGATACTTATTGAGGCAGAATATAGGATACATGGTTACAGGCAAGGGAAGAGCATGTACAGAGGCCTGGAGGCAAAAGAGAGCACAGATAGAGGAACTGGAAGGAATACAGAAACATAGCATACATAAGAGGAAGTTGCAAAGAAATACTCGAAGGGTCTGGATGATGCAGGATCTTATGAGTATAGTTAAAGAATTTGGAGTTATTATAAAGACAATGTGATACAATTGGGAATAATATGATCAGGTTTATGCTTTAGAAGGTCCTTTCTGGAGGTATTGTTGCAAATAGATGGGAGGGAGAGGAGACACTAGGTAAGGAAGATGCCAAAAATAAAACCACTTTTAGTCAAAAATATAATGGGGTAAATTAAAATTAAATATAAATGCAATGACAACTCCAGACAGATGGTAAGGTTCACAGAGCCAAACTTGGATTCAAATGCATAAAAAACATAAAATTTGATCTAATCAAATGCAAGATGTATGCTAAATTCATGTTCTACTAAAATGTAAGACACTTAAATAAGGAAATAGAAAAGTAGAGCAAGTGAAACCACATTAGCACAATTACTCAGTGCCCATCTCATGCAGCCATATGATGTGCATTTTCCTCTAATATTATCCAAGTGGACACTGCTGCTGATGCCTCATCCCCAGGAAGGTGATGGCATAGTTTCTGTAACATTTCTCAACCAGTATCAGTGCAGCATTAATTCTTTATTCCACAAGTATAAAACTCTTTATAATCCTATTGTTCTTCAGGAAATTCAGAATAAAACTACTTGGTGCCAGATAATTATTTAAGGGTGTTATATAACGGCATGCCATTGCGTTCTTTCTCTGAATAATGTCACCAAACATGCACACCTTCACCTTGAATACTGATGACACAATGTTAGGATGTCACAGTTTAAAATGTACATAATTTATTTCCTTAACAATTTTACAACTGCGTAGCTTAAAAATGTTAAGAGACAACTATTTTGACTTTTTCTTTTTATCAGTTTGTTCAGCTTTCTCTAAAGAAAGGAGAAATACCTCATAAACACCTCCAAACGTGCACATATAGGCAGGGCAAACTTTTAACAGTATGAATTGAAATAAATTGTTAAGTGCATGTTCAGTTCCAGATTTTGAAGCAAAAATAACTTTGAACATTTTGGGGCTAGAATTAACAAATATTATAGAATTTCCTTCCCACATTTGAAATTTTAATTTCATAGTATTTTCAGTCCTCTGGGCTGAAACGAGGACCAGATAATATTTTAGCAAAAAAGGTGTTTTGTTTTCACGCTTTCATCATGCAAAAATAACCCAACTAATTTAGCCCTAACTTCCAAAAAATATTCAGTTTTATGCAGAAATCAACTATGTAGATCTCAGGCCAAAAGGAATATTTATCAGAAAACTCTGAAGCAAAGACTTTTATAAAAATATACTCTTCCATAAAGTTTTATTTTCAGTCATCTTTGACATGATGTAAATGAATTACTGCATTATTGCTTCCTAGTTATCTCTTATCTTTGCTGTGCCAGGAATTTGTGAGTTTTTTAATATAAATTTTGATCATTTAAAATTATAAACCCCTGGGGTCAGGCTTAAATATTGTAATTTTAAAATAATTATGAGGCCGGGCGCGGTGGCTCACGCCTGTAATCCCAGCACTTTGGGAGGCCGAGGCGGGTGGATCATGAGGTCAGGAGATCGAGACCATCCTGGCTAACAAGGTGAAACCCCGTCTCTACTAAAAATACAAAAAATTAGCCGGGCGCGGTGGCGGGCGCCTGTAGTCCCAGCTACTCGGGAGGCTGAGGCAGGAGAATGGCGTGAACCCGGGAAGCGGAGCTTGCAGTGAGCCGAGATTGCGCCACTGCAGTCCGCAGTCCGGCCTGGGCGACAGAGCGAGACTCCGTCTCAAAAAAAAAAAAAAAAAAAAAAAAAAAAAATTATGAAATATAATAGCATTTCACATTTTTGGTGCTCCCAAAATGCCAGAGACTATGCTAAATACTGTGTATATATCATCTCTTTTAAGTGTACCACAATCTGGAGAGGGAAGTATAATTGTTATCTCCAATTTGTAGGTAAAGAGACTAGCCCTTAATGGGATTAAATAATTTGTACTAAGTAATACTAAGCAACTGTATTTACTGGGTGATGGAGTCACGATTCCCCTACCCCATGCCTCTCTGACTCCATACTCCACTTGAAAGTAGCATCCTCTTTTAGAACAGCCCCAATATAGCCCTAATCAATATAGTTATAGACGCTTCCCCAGAACAGACAGAAAAATAGTCAGCAGGTTCATGAAAAATGTTAAACATTACTAATCATCAGGAAAATGCAAATCAAATCACCATTTCACTTCACACCTGTCAGAATCACTAGTATAACAACAGCAACAACAACAAAAAAACAGAAAAGTATTGGCAAAGATATGGAAAAATTGGAGCCCTTGTACACTGTTGGTGGGAATGCAAAGTGGTGCAGCTGCTAAGGAAATTCCTCAAAAAATTAAATATAGAACTATTCTATAATCCAGCAATGTCACTTCTGGGTATTTATCCCAAAAAAGTAAAATTAGGAGAGCAAAGGTATATTAGCACTCCGAGGTTCATTGCAGCACTATCCACAATAGCCAAGACATGGAGACAACCCAAATGTCCGTGGATGGGTGAATGCATAAAGAAAATATAAGATACATAGACAGTGAAACATTATTCAGCCTCAAAACAGAAGAAAAATCTACAATATGGACGACATAGATAAAGCTTAAGGACATTATTCTAACTAAAATAAGCCAGTCACAGAAAGAGAGATACTTCATGATTCCACTTACATAAGGTATCTAAAATAGTCAAATTCATGGAATCAAAGAGTGAAATAGTGATTTTCAGAGGCTGGGGGAAGGAGGAAATAGGGAATTGCTAATTAATGGGCATAAAATTTCAGTCAAGCAAGATAAATAAGCTCTAGTAATCTGCTATACAACATTGTACCTATAGTCAATAATAAAGTATTCTACACTTAAAAATGTGTAAAGAGGGTGGAGCTCATGTTAAGTGTTCTTACCACAATAAAATAAAATACAAAAATAGCATGAACAGGAAGAACAACAATGGTAATAAAATAGTGTGTATTATAATAATATATAATATATAACAAGTATTATAATAATATAAGTATAGATGAAATGCTGAACACTCAAACCTTCTGTTAAATTACATAGACATTAAAATGATCTATTGTGTTAAGTTCTAGTGTGAATTAAGTCAACAGATTTTTTAAAAAACAAATTATATTTTTATGGCATTTTAATACTGACAAAAAGTATCAGCTCAATTATAGCAATATATCATTGTAGCTATTAAGACACTTTGGCCAAAATCTAAAGCCAGCAGTGACCATTCTAAAGACTTTGAATCAGCACAGAAGGTATGCTTTATCTAGCTTTTTTTTAAGGTTTTTCACTTACCCACCTATTCTGAGCACCTTAATACTAGGTTACTGGCATTATTTTAGGTACTAGAATGAGGGACATTAAGGTAAGTAGTAGAAATGTTGTCCTTAAGGGACTTACATGCTACACATATAATAGGGTGAATTAAACAAATAGGGAATTTCAAGAGTGTGGATTGGATTGCTAATGGTAAAATTATGTATTGAGCCAAGGAGATGTGAAGCAGGGAACACATAATTCGGTCATGAGCCGTGGCCTACAGGGCCAGTGCGACTTGCTCTGAAGTTGCATTCCAACTTTAGCTCATTTTTACACTTCCTCTTCCTCAGTTTGCTCCTGCCACCCTTGGACCGTGTATCTATTTCTTAAGATTCTGAACTCTTGGAATCTTACCCCTGCCTGGACACTCTGGCCAGAAGTGTGCTTGTCAGCTTATTCTTACCTTTCAGGATTCAGCTCTAATGTCACCTGGTCAGGAATGCCATCCATTAACCTTCTTTCTTTATATATATATATATATATATATATATATATATATATAATTTTTTTTTTTTTTTTTTGAGACGGAGTCTCGCTCTGTCGCCCAGGCCGGACTGCGGACTGCAGTGGCGCAATCTCGGCTCACTGCAAGCTCCGCTTCCCGGGTTCACGCCATTCTCCTGCCTCAGCCTCCCCAGTAGCTGGGACTACAGGCGCCCGCCACCGCGCCCGGCTAATTTTTTGTATTTTTAGTAGAGACGGGGTTTCACCTTGTTAGCCAGGATGGTCTCGATCTCCTGACCTCATGATCCACCCGCCTCGGCCTCCCAAAGTGCTGGGATTACAGGCGTGAGCCACCGCGCCCGGCCTCTTTATATATTTTTTTGAAACGGAGTCTCACTTCATCGCCCAGACTGGAGTGCAGTGAGTGGCACAATCTCAGCTCACTGCAACCTCCACCTTCTGGGTTCAAGCAATTCTCCTGCCTCAGCCTCACGAGTAGCTGGGATGACAGGTGCGCCCCACTACCCCTGGCTTATTTATTTATTTATTTATTTATTTATTTAATTTATTTTTTAGTAGAGACAGGGTTTCAACATATTGGCCTAGGCTGTTCTCGAACTCCTGACCTTGCGATTCACCCATCTCAGCCTCACAAAGTGCTGGGATTACAGATGCAAGCGACTGCGCCCAGCCACATGAACCTTCTTTCTACTAAAGTGGTGCTGGTTTTGGCTTTGCACCAAAGTTGTTCTTCTTCTATCACTCTCTGTCATGGAACTCTGTTTTTGTTTGTTTGTTTGTTTGTTTTCCTTTTATAGCCCTTAAAACAATCTTATCACATAATGTAGTAAGTTTCTTTTGGGATATTTTGAGTATGAGATAACTGTGAGAGTGATTAGATGTTCATCACAGATAAGTGATTAGGGTAAGAGATATCAAAGACTTAACCATCAGGGATCATGCCCAGGCAAAATTGAGAACTTCATCTACTGCTAAGAGGCACTCCTGTGCACATATCCTAGAAGTCAACAACCAACTCTAGATTCAGATGAAACTTGGAAGGCAACTGAGGGGTCATTGGCACTTGGTTCTAATTCAGTAGGTTTGAATTAAGTACTAGAACCTATTCCCAAAGTTTCTTCAAGATTCGTCTGATGACCTGCCTCTTTCCAAATATGGTTATCTCTTTGACAAGATCTCTATAGAATAATTATCTCATTACTGCTCCAACATTTTGAATAATATTAATAACTTAATACTTCAAAAGCACATACGGATGCTTGAAGCATGAAATCTTGATGTTCTTCCAAAACATAGCCTAAATTAGCCCTCCCGTAACTTATAACCACTAATTCTGCTCTCAGATTTAAGTCTACACCTCAACACTTCCCTAAATGTTTCATTTCACATGACAGCACATATTAGAAGACAGTTATCACCTTTTCCACTAAATTTTCTATCTTCAGGTTAAACATCTTCACTTCCTTTCACTTTTTTTTTTCCTTCCAAGGCAACAGATATTTGAATTACTAGTACATATTGGACCCTGGACTAGGCACTAAAATAACATGGTTTTATTTTCTTTACAATTATAGTATTTTGCACTATCCTGCACCTGCAATCTGCATTATGCACACTATCTTGAGATCAAATTGCCCCAAAATGTGGACACTACACATTTAGTAATGTACTTTGTTAGCTTATTGGCTTGAATAGTCACATTAACTTGTATTTCCTACTTGCCTAAACTTGTCATTTTCGTATCTTCATCACGAGTTTGCCATATTTGGACACTACCTCTACAGACTTGATGGTTTTCTTTAACTCTCTTTTGTACCTACATATGTTTTCAAAAGAAGTTTTAAGGTCAGTGTCATAAATAAAACACCAGTATCACTGTATTAATGTAAGGAAACTATAAAATAAAGGCAATAAATATGTTATTAAAATTCAAAATAAAAATTAACTCCATGTATCAATAAATATAGTTAATATTTTAAATTACTACTTTAAAAATCTCTCAGTGAAAGGAATGGAACTATTTTTACTAGTTACTGATTTTATAAGAAAGGTACTAAATCAATAAGAAACGGTATCTTTAGTTTTGATATTAATTATCTCCTTAAATTTTTATTCATATATATCTAGATAAAAAGGTAATGGTAACATTAGCCGTATTATAATTTAAACTATTTATGGCAATAGGTGGCTTTTTGATCAATAGTGAGAAGGTGCAAAGCCAAAAGCTTGGTCATGATACTTGGTAACTGAGCTCAGCCTTCACTCCTGCTGCAGGAGACAAGAACGTAAGAAACCTGTGAAATGAAAAAGCTCCCAAGGACAGCATGCTAGACACATGCATTAGCTTTTATCCCCTCCCTCCACAGTCCACTCCAGAAAAACCCTACTAAGACCACAGTAACAGAACAGGGAAGAGGCCAGGCACGGTGGCTCACACCTGTTATCTCAGCACACTGGGTGTGGATCATTTGAGTCCGGGAGGTCGAGACCAGCCTGGGCAACATGATGAAATCCCGTGCTACTAAAAAACAAAATGCCAAAAAATTAGCCAGGAGCCTATGGTCCCAGCTACACTGGAGGCTGAGGTGGCAGAATCACCTGAGCCTGGGAGGCAGAGGTTGCAGTGAGCTGAGATCCCACCACTGCACTCCACCAGCCTGGGCAACCAGAGTGAGACCTTGTCTGAAAAAAAAAAAAAAAAAAAAAAAAGGACAGGACGAGAGGAGCTCACAGAAACAAAGAAATTGGGCAAGAGGCAGTAGCAACAACTGATAAATAGATGGAAAGGTTGTAACTGATTTAATAGACCTGAAAAGCTGAATCCTAAATTAGCTGTGGGACAAGCCAAGAAGCAACCTCACTTAAATTGTACTGAAAAATTCTCAGAAGGCTCAGAAGCTGGGTGATACTTCTGAAAGCATTTTAGCATGGAGCTAAAAATTTTTAAAAATGGTTAAAAGTTTATTTAGGAAGCAAGATTATTTAGATTTCCCCAAGAAACTGCTTACCAACTGGAAGATGTCTGGAAGTTTATTCTCTAGAAAGAATAAAACTGAGGTCTGGATCAAGGGACACTAAGCACAGGCAAGGTCAGGAGTACCTTACTGAAATCAAAGTCATCAGTGAGTGTTTTCATCCTGAATGTTGAATCCTCAGCCTTATTCTTCACCCAGGTCCCAAAATGTTAGCAGTCATGTTTATGTCATCCAAGCAGGAAACTGGAAGAAATTCTTCTGAAGAATTTGACCCTAGCCAGCTCCAAAGAAAAGTCCTAAAGATATTTACATCCAGGTTGCCCCTCTAAACATAATTTTCTGCATGACAATTCTTACCAGTGAGTCTGATTTTAGTGTGGCACTGGTCTTAGTACCACTGACCTAGTCAGCTCTTTTCAGAGAATAATCTTCCAGTCATCTGCCAGTGGTGAAGGGGATATCTTGGAGTCCTAAATAAACTTTTCACCATTTTTAAATTTTTTAGCTCAGAACTCATTTTTAACAATGCCTATTTACACATGCAGTGGTTCCATCTAGCTTTCTTTTTGCCTACTCTGATAATAGTAGACACTTGAGAAAAGCCTTTATTGTGAGAGGAAGACCAGAGCAAACAATTAAAATAAAGCAACCACTGCTATGAGCAACACACATTAGGAGATAGCCATTTGGTCCTTTTAAATCCTCAGGTTTACATTTAATAATCAACAAACGATATTAACCTGCAAGCAGTTACTGATTCAGATAGAAGGAGATCGTGATATGAGCCATTTTACTGAAAAACTTGGGTGAGAGAATATCACTTAAGGATCTGGCTAAAAGGGTTTGCTAACACTGTCTATGCTAGCCACCCACTCACAGACTCCCAGGCTAGGCATGGGAGACCATCTAGAGAAAAATTTCCATCCGCAAAGCAGGCAAAATACACTCACCCAGGATTGCTCTCTCAAACTGGTCTCAGGTAGAAGCAGACAGGGGATCCCCAGAAAGCATGATTTTTTCATGAAATTGTTCTATCCAATAACTGACTTGGGGTGGGGGGAGTGAAGCTACTAATGGCCGTCATCCACCAATCTAGAAGCACCCTCTCCCACAATGGACAGAAGTGAGTGAGAAAGAGAAGCAGAGGCCAGCAATGCTACTCCAGTGGAAGTAGCTGCACAGAAACCTGAAGGGAAATGAGTATTCCCCTATAACACCTGCTGTGTTCTAGTCTCCTTTCCATGTGAACTGAAAGCAGATTCATCATTTTCAACAGTGTCATTATTCAACTTACATTTATTTCAACTCATTTTTTCACCTAATCACTTTTGGACAATTTTTTCCAAAATGTCGACGTATGTTCAAAATCTGAATTTTATAATAGAGAACTTACCTACCATATTTTAAAATCATGAATTCAATATCTTATCCTTTCTACATATGTATCTAAATATAAAATAGTACTATAAGATATAGCTAATGACAGGACCTTATTGCTTCATGGTAACAGTGTTACATCGGATGATTCTTTTGGATATGGCCATTTGGCCAGTTATAAATCCACTTACCTAAACAGTTTAGTCCAAGTGTCTTACCAACAAGATAAGTCATCTTATCATCATGGAAATATTAAGAAATTTGATCAAATATTGTTCTGAGATTCATATTTTCATGTCTGCTGCAAATTTCTCATTTATGTTGTAATCACATTTTTCAAAAAAGAAAAGCATAAGAGAAACAAAAGGGACTTCTATAAGTGATTTGTACTAGATGAATCCTTTCCAGCTAGTAATGAGCATCACTTCCTTTTCCTAAGAAAATAATCTTTAAACAAACTTTTCTGGAACTTTATCAGTGACAAGGTTATACCCACTTACCTGTAATTTCCATATCTGGCCTTTTTGTTCTTTTTGAAAATCAGAGAAATGTTCCCATATCTGGTATTCTAGCTAGCTTTTTTTTTTTTTTTGTCAAGCGTTATCAATTGAGGCTCTGCAGTCACGTCTGTAACTTATTTCAGTTTTGTAGGATGAAATTCACCCAGCCTAGATATTTGGATTCATTTAAAGAATCTCAGTACTTCCTTACTGTCTTCTCACATTTACCTCTTCATCATTTTTACCCTTTCCAGTTTGCAAGTCATTCTCCTTGAAGAAAAAAGACAAAAGCATAATACTTGTGTAGTTTTGCTTTTTCTGTGTCAGCTGTCAACTCAATCTCTTTCCTCAGTAATAGAATGATATAATATCTTTGTAGAGTCTAAAAAATCCTTTTTGCTCAGCATTTGTCTTTTAAAAAATGTCTAGGAGAAGAGAAAGAAACTGTAGCAGGATTCTTTGTATCATTAATGTATGCATTCATTTACTTGCTTGCCCATTGAGTCATTCATGGGAGAGTGATTAGGCAGCAATTTGCAGATATTGTGTTGTATATGAATGATGGAGACTTAAGACTGATATCACCCCTGGCCTCAAAAGGCCTCATGGTTTAGTCACTGGGGTTGTGTTAGGGTTAGGGAACAGGGATGGGAATGGGGCATCACAGATCAGAAAAGTAAACCAACAAAGAGAATGGAGAGTATTAAGTACTTCAGCTCAGTGCCAAGGGAAGGACACTTGGCCAAGGACAGTGCTTATGATGGGAGGCTGTGAGCAGAAGAGCCAGAGAAAGCTTCCAAGTGGAGTTGACCTCTGAGCTCAATCCTGAAAGATGAGTAGGGGATACACTTCTAGACAGGATGGCGAATATCAGAGTAGGTAGAAGAGATGACAAATGGTTAGAGAGATCAGGACCCATTTAAAAATCTCTGTCATTAGACCTGGCATCTAGTGAAGTTGAGCAGCAAGAAGGCATGCCCTTTCTTAGTGACACTTTCTTTAAACATATAGTTTTCAGGTAGCTAGTTCAGATTTTCTCAAGTGTTCTTTATTTTGCTTTCTTACATGCTGGTTGAGAACTTGTATATAGGAAGTGATCTAAAACTTCATGCTGGTCTTGTTCACAGCAAATTTGTAACACCTTCTGAAAAGCAATGTCTTTCTTCAAAGGCTTGGCACAGTGAACATCTTTTGTCTTGGAATGGTCTCATTTCAGATGTTCTGTTGTCTTTTATGAATATACTTGTCCCACTGTTTACAAAACAGAGACCTTTATATAAGAGAATACTGGAATTATTGTAAACCAGGATTTTAAATATCTCAGAGAGCAGAGAAAAATAAATAATGAAAAATAGAGTTGATAACACAGCCAACACAGTACTTCTGTAATTTTTTCATAATATTTCTTGTTAGTCTAAAAGGAGAATTTTGGTTGTTTTAGATTATTATTCATAGAAAATCATCTTCCCAGATAGATGACAGAAATGCTCTCCCCCAATTTGTTACTAAAACACATAAGAAAATATTGAAACATTTACACATGTACACACTTCTATCGAAAACTAGCACTAAGACCCCACCCCATTGCCAGAATTTTAGTAGGAGTTTTACCAAAACAAACCTAACAAAAAATATTTTACAATTATAAACAATAGTTTATCCTTATGTTTTGCCACCACAAAGTATGTAGGTAGCTTCCTCATGCCTTCTCCATTTTGGTTTCACAGTTGCTCTGTGATCTCTGTTCAGAAATGTAAATCTTCACAAAAGAAAAATGAATAAAAATAAATGGCCCAACTTGGCATTGTTACTTTGAATGAGGTGTTCAGTTTGCCATTTCACCTCAGGTACTCTTTCTATGAGCGAGACACAGCAATTCCTAGGTAATAACTCTCCAGAAAAGAGGCAGGGCATTGTGTTTGACCTGATAACTCTGGAAACAAATGTCCAGCCAGACGACTCCAGCCCGTGAGTATAAAATGATGTCACATTAATTTTATGCCCACATTACACTGACTTGAGGCCCTTTGGCTTAATGATTAGGTGTCAATACAATCTCCTCACAAATTATCCTGGTAGAATT